>NC_000006.12:19150909-19302424 GCF_000001405.40 Homo sapiens | reverse complement strand
TATTATCTTACATAAGAAGACATTTGAGCTTTAGGGTTGACTGAGTCAGCTGTTTGATAAATTCTGCAAGGGACCAGTTCTTACTCTCTCTCTGTACTAACCATGCCAGTGTTATTTGATCCCAAGAATGATTCCCCCAGTAGTCATCAGATGGCTCCAAGTGCATGCAGGGCGGCCACTCTTCCTTGTTCACATGTGGCTGGAGAAAGCACTTCTCTCCTAACAGAACTAATTTCCTTTCTTTAGGTCTCAAGGGGTCAACCTGGTTCAAATGTCTACAGGGGCATGGCATCTGCTGATTGGCTTCTGCCTGAACTGCTGAACCAATCAGTAAAAGGAACAATGAGTTTACATAATTGGCTTAAGGACTGCAGTCAGCTCCTCATCGTGCAGGATGAGAGACTGGTGAAGAATGTGATGAAATGGCTTAGGAAGCTAACCACAATATCTACACCCTAATTAGTGAAGCTCCTATGATTGAGGTAGGATTCGAGGGCACAGAACGCCGCCCTCCCCCCGGCCCCACACATACCTCTACCTTATATTTCTCTTTTCCCTTCAAACATTACTTTATACTTTTGGGGAACTTGTGGAATTCTAATTTGAAAGCCGCTGTCAGAGCAAGGACATCATTGACCCAAGGAATCATGTGGGTGTGAAGACTGAGTAACTCAGTCTTCTCCAGTGGCTTAGAAATTCTGAGCTTATGTCAAAAGGCTCCTTCCCTTTTAGTCAGTCATCTCAACTCTTTCTCAACTGCACAGGGAAAAGTAACCCAGAATAATTGGAAGAAGATTGGAAGATTAAAAGTTCCAACCAAAAACAAAAACAAGCAAACAAACAAAAACAACTCTGAATCCCCTGAATAATCATTTCTTTTTTTAAAAAAAGGCACGTAATAATCCAAAATATGATCGGGCACAGTGGCTCATGCCTGTAATCCCAGCACTTTGGGAGGCTGAGGCAGGCAGATCACCTGAGGTCAGGAGTTCGAGACCAGACTGGCCAACATGGTGAAACCCCATGTCTACTAAAAATATAAAAATTAACTGGGCGTGGTGGTGCATGCCTGTAATCCCAGCTACTCAGGAGGCTGAGGCATGAGAATCCCTAGAACCTGGCAGGTGGAGGTTACAGTGAGCTGACATCGTGCCATTGCACTCCAGCCTGGGCTACAGAGTAAGACTCCATCTCAAAAAACAAACAAAACAAAACAAAACAAAACAAAAATAATAATAATCCAAAATAAAATCTTATGTACATCCAAGAATATTCTATCTTTATCTGCAGTATTGGGAAGACTTTTAGTCTGATATTTTAAAATATTTAAATTTGTCAAAGGGGTTAAAGAAGAAAAAACTATTTTGGGGTGAATTCTGGCAAACTTTTTTTAAAAGGTAGTTTTATTTCTTTGAAATCATGGTTTTAAGCACAGTCGTGGTTCTCAGCATCTGAACACACATGTATGGGTGGCTGCAATGAGCACCAACTAAACCCAACAAGAATCATCAAACCCATCCCAGGAAATTGTGAACTAAGTATTGATCTTGCCCTGGTGAGATTCATAACAGGGACTATAGTTTTTTGTAAGTTCCACCTAGTCAAAACATTGAAAATGGTTAGGTTTGGCCATTTCGCTGGCAAAATGGGTTTTCTTTATGAAGATTCTTTTTCCTTTACTTCTTGAGAAATTGCTCAGGAGTTGTTTTGTTGGCTATTAGGATGAATTTAAGAACTTATTGTCTATTTTATTGCCATGATTTAATGCTGTTATTTTCCTGCCTATATATCCTATTCATAGGACCCTACAATAGTGTTTGCCCTAGACTACCCATTGTGAGAATGTATACAAAAAAGCCAATGGTACTGCAGACCATCCCTCTTAGCTCTGAAATGCATTCCATGCCCTTATCCCTATCCTACTAGGGTTTGAACCTACATCAACCTTTTCCAGGCTTTCTTACCAGCTTGCTTCCAGGTAACAAGGGGAGGCTCTAGTGGGAGACTGGCACCAGAGGGAAGGAGACATTAGATGATTTCCCTGTTTCTTTCTGCCTAGCAAGGTCTCTGCTGTGTCTCGTCAGTGGCTTTAGCTCCCACTAGCCAGTTCTTTTCTTCAAATTGCCAGCTCCCTCCAGGCAGGCTTACCATAGTTCCAGCTTCTACCAATTGAGCTGTTTGGAGGCCAATTCTAATGTACTTGGTTGAATCATTAGTTTGATTTCCTTGAAATCATGTTTCATAGCTGTACTTGTACATCTTAGCTGCAACATCCCAATGCACAGGTATTGGCAGCTGCAGTCATCATTGAGGCCCCAGTAACACCACCTCTTCTCAATGTCCCTGTAGCCCTAAAAGTGGTAGCCACTTTCTGCAGTTGTTACCTTCCCTGTTTGCTCTCTCAGCTCTTTTCATATCTTCAAAAAACATTTCCCACCATTACATTTTTTTTCTTTTGAATTATCTGGTATAGGTTTTGTTTTCTTAGTTGGAACCTACCTAATACTGTAGGGAATTACTAGTTTTTTTGATAGAAAGTTCTTTGCTATTCCCACCATGCAACCACATAGACCTACAAATGAAGACCACATTCTTTGTAAAAAGAATTTCTCTGCTAAAATCCTTCTATTTTCTGTTTGTTTCATAAGAAATTTAAATTTTTCATGTACAGATTATGTATTACATGTTTGGGCAGTGAGAAAGTTCTTAAGGAATTGACGCCCTAAATGTATCAAATAAGCATGGAGCCTATCATTATGGCAGAAACCGTGGTACATTGTGTTCCTCATGTCTTTTTATTTTAGTCTTTGCACTAATATCTTTCAGATTTCCTGTTAAGTAGTTTATGTGCATTTCAATCTCAATAATGCCAGAACAATCTTTTGAATCCAATTTAAAGTTGATAAAATTGAATAAAGAAACTGTTTTCAAAATTGGCAGATAGCTTCCATTTAAAATACAAGCATACATTAAAAGCTACACATAACTTGTAGTTTGGGACGAAAGACTGGTTGAACTAAAGGGGAGCTGGGAGTTAGTGCTGGTTGAGTGAGCCTAAAGCTTTGGTTGAAAATCCCCAGAGGGGTCTCAAGTCAAATTACGCAGAAGCACAAGCAGACATCCCTGGCAGGGCCTGGATCACTCTGGGGTCAGCCATCTTCAACACAAAAGTGGGGATGCTGAGTGCTTGTCCGTGTTAATCACTGCCTAAATCATAGGGTGGGGTTAGCAGAATATGCATCACTCAGGTAGGTCTTTATCTCCACATAATGACTTTGGTCTTTTCCATAGCAAGTGCTGAAGTGTACTACAAGGGGAAAGAATAGCATTCATAATTTCTACTTTTTAAAACAGCAGAGAGAATGGTGTTATTTTTTTAAGAAAGGAAATTTAAGTTTTTCATTTTGCTTAAAGACTCAGGAAAAGCTTCCATTAGACAATTTTGCGTCGTGCTGCTGACAAAAACAAAACAAAACAAAACAAAAAACACAAAAAGCCAAGGTTGGTGGGCTGTGGAGAGAATTCCCCTCCCTTGGCTCAAAAAACCCCCCAAAACCCAAACAATAACAACAACAAAAAACCCCACACAAAAAGCATGTTAAATAAAAACACAAGCAATCGCTCTCTTGCCTCATGCACAAAATAACAGAGAAAAATCTGCATTTTGTTCATCAAGGTATAGTAGACAGAGTTTTTTTTTTTTTGAATATGCTTTCAAATCCTCTGGGACTTTACAATTTATCAAGAAAGGCACATTCTTCCTAATGAAAGGTTACTGACCTTCATGAATGTGACAGTTCAATTACAGCCCATTCATATGCAGAGCAGCGTTGATAAAGGATTTGGGAAATGTGACTAGCATAGCAAGAAAAAGAAAAATGTCTAGGAAATTATTATTAGTTTTTAAAATTTTTAATTGCAAAGCAAGAATAATAAATAAGATTTGCTCAGGTAGTAGAACCATTTTTTTTTTCCCTGTAGCCCAGCATCTCATTAGATTTGCTTCAATTAATATGCTGGCTCTTTCTTTTTTCTTTTTTCTTCCTAATATTTCTGCCTTTTTAATCCTCTAAACCGCTAAACCTAACAAATCAAAAAGCCCTTGGGGTTCTGAAATGCAGGGTTTCAATTTTTTTTTTTTTTCTCCTTTTTCCTTTGACTGGCAGGGCAAGCTGGAACGTGTCTTAATGTTATTTTAAGGGCTTGATACTATTTAGACGCTGAAATGGACGGATGGAGGGATACAAGGGGGAGTGTACATACTCCCAACCACCCACATACATGTACTCATGGTGGGAGGGGCCCACACTCACGGGAGGTAGGCCCTTCCAGGACAGGGAATCTCTAAGCCAGGTCCTGGCTAGACTTGCTGGAGCCAGCCTTTAGCCAGACTTGAGTGACACCTGCAAGCTGCTGTTGGCTGAGCTGCTCCAGGTGTGGGAAAGATGATCTGATGCCACTTTGTAAATCAGCAGAGAATGTCACTCAGCCAGAGCTCTCTGGAATATCCCAGAACCAGGTTCTTTTTCAGCAACTGCTAGTAGAGATTCTCCAATAACAATACATTTTTCTTTAAAAGTAAGACAAAATACATCCATCTATTAAATTGCTCTTGGGATATAACCAATATAAATATTTTAAGCAATTTTGAAATATAATTAGTATTTTCATTTTTAATACTTTACCTTGGAAGTTAATATCAGACATGTGTGGGTGGTATGTATGAGTGGTTGAATGGTAAACTTGACTGAAAGCTCTGAGAAAAGACACGTGTTCCAAGCACCCGTCATACTGCCTAGCATGTAGTGATCATTCAGTATTTGTTGAACAAATGAATCCCTTTTCCTACTGCGTTTCTTTTCCACTCCTTCATTTTTGGATAAGCTGTATGACCCATCAATTATTCCAAGCTTGTCCAACCTGTGGCCCGTGGGCTGCATGTGGCCCAGGATCGCTTTGAATGTGGCCCAACACACAAATTTGTAAACTTTGTTCAAACATTATGAGATTGCTTTGTGACTTTCTTTTTTTTTTTTTTTTTTAGCTCATCAGCCATCGTTAGTGTTAGTATATTTTACATGTGGCCCAAGACAACTCTTCTTCTTCCTATGTCACCCAGGGAAGCCAGAAGATTGGACACCCCTGAATTATTCTTGAAGATATTTACCCTGTCTAATTCACTCTTATAAGTGGCCTTCCTCCTCTACTATTCCTAGACCAACGATTTGCCTTCAAGGCACTTTCAATCAGATTGTATCCTGAAGGCAAGTCTACTGCAGAATTAAGAATGCATGATTTATATATACTTAAGTTAAAGTATACATAAATATATATACTTAGATGAAATATTTTATATTTTCTTTATTTTCTCAAACTTCACTTTTGCTTAGATGTCTTCATTCTTGCATAACCTACAGGGCATGACAATGTGTTGAAAGATGCCCAATAAAATCTTCTTTCAATTAATAATTTTCTGTGTTTCAAATCTAGACATATTCAGAGCTTTTAGAAGTTCATTAGTTCTGACTCAATGCTCTGGGAAGATAAATTCTGGACATAAAATAAGTCTAGATCACAGTTGCATGCTTTATGCCTTTTGATATTGTCTCTGATGTTCCTTCTAAATATCCTTTTTACCTTGTTAATTTTTGCTATTACCCAGAGCCACTGTTTAATTATGAACTAACTTTCTTTTAATGAATCCTATGTGTTATATTATGCATTTTTAGATTTGATGAATAATAACAGATTATATATATATATTGTTTTTTTATTTTTTATTTTTTTGAGAAGGAATCTCTCTCTGTTGCCTAGGCTGGAGTGCAGTGGCACGATCTCGGCTCACTGCAAGCTCTGCCTCCCAGGTTCACGCCATTCTCCTGCCTCAACCTCCCGAGTAGCTGCGACTACAGGCGCCCGCCACCACATCCGGCTAATTTTTTTTGGTATTTTTAGTAGAGACGAGGTTTCACCTTGTTAGCCAGGATGGTCTCGATCTCCTGACTTTGTGATCCACCCGCCTTGGCCTCCCAAAGTGCTGGGATTACAGGCGTGAACCATCACGCCCGGCCTAAATAACGGATATTAAGTGGAAGAGCAAGCCCTTAAATACTGGTTTGTCTCACTTTAAAATCTTTTCACTTAACCAGGTCACTACTATATTATGAAATGGACTTAGCAACAAGTAAAATGAAATCTAAACAAAAGACTTAAATAATAAGAACATTGTATTGTCTTATATAACACATAATCCCGGGTAGGGTGGCTCAGTGTCAGGCAATTTAGTTGTTCAAAAATATAGAGGATCCAAGTTCTTCCCATCTCTCGTATCTGCTGTGTTTATCTGGTATCCCTAGATGTGCTAATTTCCTCATGGTCACAAGATGGTTGCCACAGCTTCTGGCATCCATCGCATTCTTACTTATATTTTCATGTAAAGTCAAGATATGGTGAAAAAAAAATACTCCACATATTTTCCTTTGGAGTTTCATTTTAAGAGCTAAGAAATCTTTCTGTGGAGCTTTTTCAGTAGTTTTACCTTCATATCTCATTAGCCACAGCCGAGTCCTTCCTAAACACATCATTGAAAAGAAAATGAAGTGACCAGAATTAATTTAGACAAACCAAAATCTGTTGGGGCTGGGGCTGTCCTTTCCTCAAAAATATGGCTGTAGAGAAAAAAAAATGTGGGTATATGTGAACAAAATTTTGTTTCTTTAACGAAGATAGGGAGTAGCTGTTGGCAGGCAACCAATGAAGTCAGTTATAACAGGGATAAGGTTATCACCAGAGATAAGGAGGAAGACAGGGAAATACTAAAAAGGGAAACTTGGAGCTCAGTGGGAAAAGAAAGGAAAAAAAAGAGTAATCTGGTATAGAGAAAGTGTTCAATAATTGCCAATGACAGAAAACGAATGAAATGCAACTTACAACAAAGTTAATCTGACACATAATAATACGTGTTGTTCCATGATAATTCAGGCCAACAGTTTAGCAGTCCACATAAATAACTGTAACTAGTATTGCTGGTTACTTGATAGATCTTTCTTTATTTTATTTTTTTTCACTCATCTTACAGTCGAACCTGAATCACTTATTCACTGACAAGGATTGCAATGATTCCCCAGCACTTGGAACAGCCATGATTCCTCTGGTCTTGCCCACCTATCCAGCCATGTCCAGAAATGAACTTTTCTTTATTTTCTCAGAGAAGTTTCCCTTGGCAGATAGAAAACATCAACATATCAAGATATACTGCTATTTGATTCTATCAGATTTGGAAGAAAGGTCTTCAGAAAACACAGCAGTGTATACCTAGTATCAGATCTCTTCCTAGTTTGGTAAGAAGGAAGAGACCAGAAAGCACAGTGAAAGTACTTAGGAGGCTTCCCACATGGATAACAAAAATAGTACTACATAATAATCGGGAAACATGGTTTTTCCTGGGCTAACTCATTTAGTGATTAAAGTTTTATTTCCTTAGATGTAACATGAGTGTCTGGGAATAGGTGATATCTGAGTTCCCTTCCAGTCCTACCTTCAATGATTCTGCTTCCCAGCTCTGCTTTAGGCCAAAACAGCTTAATTTAATTATGAGTAGAATATAGAAATTGTATTTGAGGTGATTTTACATATTGTAGGGAACACTGATATTAATTAAATAGCATCTTAGAAATTTAGGTGTCTTCCTATGTTTTGATGTTGCCAATAACTGGCTCTACTGTCGTAGCAGCTTCCACCAACTCTTATGTAATGTGTGCTAGATTATTGAAAAAGAGGTAAATCACTTTAAGTTATACATTTTGTTTTCCTTTTGGAACCATGAGCCCAAAACCAAAGTATTTTAAGCCAGTCCAAAGAAAACTGAGATCAACTATAACAATATTGTTTGTTACTATTATTATTATTCTCTGTTAGTGGCATAAGAAGCACCCCCGACCAAGGCAATATCATTACAATAGTCATAACGTGGCAATTTCTGAAGAATCCTTTCCTTGCTTCTGAGAATGTATCTTGCAGACTGTTGCCAACTCCACAAGGTTAAAGTCTTCTTGTTGATTAGCCTTGAATTCCTTGATAGGCCTTTTTGTGACCATAGGAGATGGGACAACACTTGTCAAGGAGAGGCCTAGAGTCCATCGCAAGTGGCTTTCCACTCCCCTCCCTGCCGGTTTGTGTGCTGTCATTTTGTCAGCCCCCCTCCCACTCAGTATGCCCCTGCTCTTTTCACTATTTCCCTGCTGATCTGCAATCCTCGACTACCCAGTATGCTTACAAAGAGCAAGGCTCGCTAAGGCCACTGGGCAGTACATCAACACATCCTTCTGGGTGATACTACTGCTGGTGCCACACATGTTGTGCAGCAGGCTTTTCACCAAGGCCACTACAGTCACAGGGCTCTTTCCCAGATATATATGAACGGTTTTCCTGCCCCGGAAGGAAATGCAAAAACTGGCCCCAGGACATTACCTGATTTCACCAGATTGTCCCACCTTTTCTCTTCTCTCATCATTTTGCAGGGTGACCTGAGGAAAGTGGGAATTTTGAAGTCACTTATTTTATTTTATTTTATTTTATTTTTTTACTTTATGCTACCCTCTTTCTCATTCTGGTAGGAAGGGTCTAAGGTGAGAATTCTAGCTTTACTCAAAGAAGAGCTCAAAAATGCCAATCTGTTTTCTTAAGTCCCACTAACCTGTTCAAATGAGGGAATGTAGTTGTCATTGAGCATACCTGGAATAATTACTCCAGAGACACAACTTCTAATACAAGAGCATGTGTGTCTATATTATATGCCACTGCAAATGTTCAACTTTCCAGAAGGAGGAATATCTCCTTCCAGTGTATACTCATCCCTTATCTTTCAAGATCTATGCAGATTGTGGAGCCCACTCAACCAAGGTCCCCTTTGTCCTGAGTGGTTCTCAAGTAGCAAATTTTACATTCATGTTTTACTAGCGTAATTTAAGCTAGGAAACAAATACGCACATAAATTTCTCTGGGAAATTGAGCCCAAGAACATAATTTCTTTCTTTATGCTTACCTACTCTTCAAGATATATTATTACCAAACACAGTATATCTTGGGCTGGAAAATCCGAAAGGATGAAATAATCACAGCATTGTGGTCACAAAAATGTGTGTAACAAAGAAAGGGGGGGGGGATATATTAGTAACTATAAATTTTTACACATTTATTGATTATTGTTTGAAATGTCTTGCTTAATCTTACTTGATTTTAATAAAATATTTCTAATTGGAAGAAGTTACATTTCCTGTACCCAACCTTAGTGTATGCTTTGCAAAATTAATTAGAAACTGGCTAGTGTGACTTGGTGAGACTAGGTTTTATTTGCTGAACTTGAGATGGGAAATTTTCTTTTGTTTTCTTCTAAGCAAGATTCAGGTGGTTCAATAAGCGCCGCTTAACTGGGGCATACTTGATCAGGAAAGTTGCTGAATTGGGAAACCAATTAAGTCTAACGATAATTAGCATGCACTGCCACTTAATTGGGATAGGTGGTCCATTGAGTTGGTATCACTGTGAGTAATTAAATGATGCTTTTGGAGGATAAGAGATAAGAGTCTTCTTGTTGCTTTCAAGACTGAAAGTAATTTATTTTCTCCCTTGATTATACTATTGCTGGTTGAGAAAAACTCAATTTCTAAATGATGCCTTCAAAAGTACTACTTGCTTTGAGAAGACTTCTGTATGTCATTTAATATGTATATACACACCTATAACTTATCCCTCTGAATGAACTGATGCAAATGAAGGGCCACACATTTTACAAATGGAAACAATGAGATACAGAGAATTTTAGTGATTTACTCAAAATTGCCATCATTTTGTGATTAAACATGGATAAGAACATGGGCTGGAGAATTCATTCCTAGTGATTCAGCTCAAGAATGGCCATCACTTGGCAGGCTCAGAGAAGCTGAGTGGAGCAGTGGCAAGAGCCTGCCTGGGAGTCCAGGGACTTGGCTCCAGGTCTGTCGTGGCTACACAGAGCTAAGACACCATCTTTCTGGGCTTCAGGTGTCTCTTTTATTAAATGAAGTTGTAGGACTAAGTAATCACTAAGATCCCTTCCACCTGTACAAACAAAAGTGTCTCAATTCAATTTATTTCAAACTTGTTACTGAGGAAAAAAATCTTCATTTTTAACTTGCATACAGCCTTTCTTTACTAGGCCAGGTCACTATCAAGCAGTAATGACAATCTCTGCCTCCATGTTTTAAGAAATCTGATTGCACATATTGTAGTTGGCTGCTTTTTGGGAGAGAGGTGGGGAGGGCATTTATGGAATGATTTTTGTCTGTGCCATGAACATAGCAAAATTCACAGACAATGGAAGAGACACTATTCATCTAGACAGCTAAAAAATATATGAAAATATAATAACATAGTAGAGGAATGTAGAGAAAAAATGAGACGTATTGGGCTTTATGAAAGAGAAGGAGCTGGGATGAGTCAATGACGTAGGACACTGGTTCTAAGGAGTCCTGCAGGACGAGAGTTGAGTAACCTTGGATATAGCATTTGGGAAAGATTACAATGGAAACATCAGGCTGGCAAGAAGATCCTCATAGCAAAGACAAGACATGAATAGTAGTTATTAGTGGGAGCTACTCTTATTTTGACTTAATAATCTGAATTAAAGCATCAGATCAAAAACTATCTTCATCTGTATTTTTCTTGTAAGAATCAGCATAATACAGAAGGTCCTGGAATAACATAGTTTCATTCAACATCATTTCCTGATAATGTTGATGAGAAAAATGGATTCCTGGCTAGGGCCACTGTCTGTGTGGAGTTTGCATACTCTCCTCATGTCTGCTTGAGTTTTCTCTGGGTCCTCTGGTTTCCTCCCACATCCCAAAGCTGTGCCTGTTAGGTTAACTGGTGTGTCTACATGGTCTCAGTGTGAGTGTGGGTATGTGTGAGTGTGCCCCGTGATGGGATGGAGGCCTGTTCAGGGCTGGTTCCTGCCCTGAGTTCTCAGGATAGGCTCTGGCCACCCACAAGCCTGAGCTGGAATCAGCGGGTAAATAATTATCTTGTTTGTTTGTGTTCATCTTTCTCAAATGAATGTGTAACCCACATTTATTTCAACGTTTAATATTAGAAGTGTTTGGGCCTTTATATAGAAGTTTAATGATGTTTGTGTGACCATAAATACACTGTAGGAACTTAACTCTTGTTTATATCAGTTAGCCTGTGGTCAAGTTGGTTTTATTATATGTCATTTCGCTTTAAATCACAGTTTCCTAAAATCTATTGATGACGTTAAGTGAGGACATACTATACTAAGCATTTGGACCAAGACACTCAATCATAATCTGATAATTAAGTAATGTGTAGCATCCAGACTATTCTAGCTTGTTTTCTCTTTCTTAATTTATCTCTCCAGGCTCATCATTTGCACATTCCCTCAAAGTAACAACACCATCATTTCTAGGTCGCTGATGACACATGGCTTAACTTGGAATACCAGCCAGATTTGCAGAGTCCTAAACTTTATTGGCTTTTGAACTTGTAGACTACTTTAAGTGCCTCATTGACCTGCTAACTGTAAATTCTGTCTAAATATTTATTTTTAAGTCAACAGCATAGATAAAAATAAAAATGTATGTAATATACATGTAAACATAGAGCTGAAGATATACCTCATATTTTTGAAATAAAATAATGTACATTTGAAAATGGTATTTACTTAAAAAATGTTTTTCTTCACTTATTAATCACATCTCAGTTTAAAGCAAGTGAAGGAGCACATTTAAATTACTTTACTCTTCATTCTCTTTTGTGTCATTATATATGCAGGCGTGGAAAAAAAACAGTGAAACATTTCCAACTACAATTTAAAGGAATGCATGTCATTTATTTAAAACATAAATCAGCAAACAGAGAGACATAAAATTACTAGTGGACTGCTTCAAGTTCAGAAGCCACTGCCCTGGTAGAGGAGTTACCAACGATCACACATCCTATAGGAATCCAACTACAGTGGCCCTGAGCTGAAACAGCATGCGTTCCATGCTCCTTTGCATAATTTGCCTACTTCTTCTCATATTTTGTAAATATAAAATCTACTTCTGGTGTTAACTGAGCTTTGTCTCATTACTTATTATTTTATTACTCATATGATTGTCGAATGAAGATGTCTTTGAGGGATAGACTTTGTGAACTCTTCTTTTGTTAAGAAAAAAAGCGATCCATCTGGAATGACGGGCCCTAGTATAAGAAAATCAACATGATCTCCTTTAAGTTTACCCTTCCCTGCCACTTGGGAAGCGCAGTCAGGCGCACAGGGAACAGAACTTTGGGGCAACTGCAATAAACTCTCCAGCCAAGCTCCTTTACCAGGGGGACAAAACAGTTCACTGCAGCTCCAGCTTTGATGAACTTTATACTCGGAATACTTTACTGCTTGATTAAAAATGTGCTCATGCTTAAAGGCAGATTGCCGATGGGGTTTATAATCAGGCACAAATACACGAAGAGATTTATTAGAGGTACTTTATGTAACCATTTTTCGGGAAAGTGATTTTGTTTGAGAAGTTACTAGAGGCTGAAATGACAGCTTCTCTGTAACTCTGGTAAGTTTTCTGAATCAGTTCATGTGGAAATCAAATTGCACCTGAGCAAATATTGAAGGGTGTAGCAAAAGGAAGGAATAGCTTTCATTTTGCAACCACAAATATTACAATAGCCTATACACATATTTTAGGAAAACATTTTTTCTTGTGTGAAGTCACTTTGCATGAAATTGCAGGACAAATTTTGGTGGTATGGTTAATCTGAGTTGTTCTTTCACAGCTATAGCCTCCAGGAGAATTATGATGTAATTACTCACAGAAAGACAAATGGGAAAAGGCACTCATCTGTCTTGCCACCTGATAGCTCTAATGGTATCATGTTATACCATGAGGGTAGATGGAAAAACACAATCTAGAAATTGGTAAAAAACACTCCAAATCTTGCCATAAAATAGATGATAATTATAAAATAAGGCCACTATTTGAAATTTGATAATAACACTAATAATAGCTATGTGTATTAAGCATTCAATGTTCCGGGCACTATTCTAAGAGCTGTACATGATGTCCATGCTAATCTTCACAACATTGTTATGAGTTAGGTACAATTATTACCTCGTGTTACCATTAAGGAAAGTGAGGCACAGAGAGATTCAGTATTTTGTCCAATATTATACAGATATTGTGGTAGAATTAGGATCCAAACTGAGGCAGTCTGACTCCAAAGACCATTCTCTAAAGCCATACATGACTAACCTCCTTAGATATCCTCTACTTATACACAAAGCCGACTTTAGTGAGCGAGAGATGACCAAGTCATTAGTATCAGGGATTCTACTTTGAAATGTTTCACAAAGTAGAAAACAATCTCAACGTGTTCTCCTTGAGTGGTGATATGGTTCGGCTGTGTCACCACCCAAATCTCATCTTGAATTGTAGTTCCCGTAATCCCCACGTGTCTTGTGAGGGACCAGGTGGAGATAATCGAATCATGGGAGTGGTTTCCCCCACACTGTTCTCATGAGAGTAGGTTAATCTGATGGTTTTATAAGGAGCTTTTCCCCACTTTGGCTCAGCACTTCTTGCCACTACGTGAAAAAGGACGTGTTTGCTTCCCCTTCCGCCGTGATTGTAACTTTCCTGAGGCCTTCCCAGACACGCTGAACTGTGAGTCAATTAAACCTCTTTCCTTTATAAATTACTCAGTCTCGCTGGGCGCGGTGGCTCAAGCCTGTAATCCCAGCACTTTGGGAGGCAGAGGCGGGCAGATCACGAAGTCAGGAGATTGAGACCATCCTGGCTAACACAGTGAAACCCCATCTCTACTAAAAATACAAAAAATTAGCCGGGCGTGGTGGTGGGCGCCTGTACTCTCAGCTGCTCAGGAGGCTAAGGCAGGAGAATGGCGTGAACCCGGGAGGCGGAGCTTGCAGTGAGCCGAGATCGCGCCACTGCACTCCAGCGTGGGCAACAGAGCGAGACTCCGTCTCAAAAAAAAAAAAAAAAAAAAAGAAATTACTCAGACTCAGGTATGTCTTTGTTAGCAGCATGAGAATGGATTGTAAGTGGTGAGATCACCTGAGTGAACTAGAGATATTTATCCATTACTATCCCTTCATTTTTGCAGAAAAGATGTTAATGGGTGAAAGCCTCAACTTTTAGAGCTAGGCATATCAGCTATCTACATCTGACAAGTTACCTAACTTTGTCTATGCCTATTTCCACATCTATAAAATGGCGATAAAAATAGCCACCTCAGATGTTTTTCTTGGCAGGACTAAAACAGATAGTATTTTTTAGCTATTTACTTGGCACAGAGTTTGACACCTAATATGTACCCAATCAATGGTAGCTGTTGCTATTATTAAGTAAACATTTGAATAAAGAATATCAACTAGTTGGGAATTCCAACTTATTTGCTATTTCCTATTTTTCTCTACATGTGTTTTCTTTTTCTTTCTCTGATTTTTTTCCCCTTTTCTGTAGATATTAATAAGGGGAAAGTCCTTCTTTGCCCATTATTTTTATAACATAATGTTTGAACCGTTTGGGCAAAAAAGAAGTTGTTTAAGTCTATTTGTGAATAGAAATAAGGATTAAAGAGGGGAGACAAAAACCAACCAGTGGGCATGGAAAATGGCCTCCTTGGGGATAGTGGTAAGTTGAATTAATAAGTTAGAAAAATATATAGAAAGAGAGAGAAGACATTTCTAGCACCAAAGAGGGAGCATGCCTGAAAATAATTTGACAGGGGAAGGGTACCGTCAGCTAAATTGCTAACAAGTGAAATTCACTGCTAGATCCAAATGGCATGTGATTGAATATGGGCAAGTGATGACATTTGCAAACACCACCTTGGACTGCTACTGAGTAAGTCTGTAAAAGACTGTCCCCTCCACTGACTTTAAGTTTTTTAAAAAAATATTTTTAAGCAAATTTTAGTTTTCCATTGAAGTCTGCTGAGAACCTACTAAAGATATTTATCCATTTAATGACACGTTTGCAGAGCACGGTGAAATGGCAATAATTGGAGGGGACTGGGAGTAAGAGAGTCCTGGGATTTAATCCCATCTCTGATACCTCCTGGCGTGTAATGTTGTACAAATCATTTAATATGTTGATGCCTCAGCCTCCCTTATGATACCTTCCCCATAGATTGTTGTACATGTTGTTGTAACATAAAAGGTGCTTGGCAAAGTAGTGCTCAACCTGTGGTCCCCAGCCCAACACCATTAGGGAATTATTAGAAACGCAATAACCTATACCTAACTCTTCTGGTCAAGTTTTATCAAGTCATCCAGGTAATTCTGATGCACGCTAATCTTTGAGAACAATTGGCCTTGCACAATTTCTGACACATAATTGGGGTCAATATAAAGGAGATAGGATTATTATAAATTGTGACAAGCTCTGTGTTAGAAGCAGGGAATCGCATGGAGCAAAACCGTTTGTGTTTCCATCTAGAAGAACTCAACTGTCAAATGTGTCCAGGCTTACTTGAGACAATCATTTGGTATAACTCCATGGTTCTCAAACTTGGCTGTATGAAAACGCCTGGGGAAGTTTGGGTTTTTTTGAATTTAATGTTTAATTATGGCAAATATACATAACATAATATTTGCCATTGTAACTATTTTTAGGTGCATAGTTCACTGGCATTAAGTACATTCACATTGCTGTGTACCATCTCCACCATTCATCTCCAGAACTTTTTCATCTTCCCAAATGGAAACTCTGTATTCATTAAATGACTCCCCATTTCCCCCTCCCCCAGCCCCTGTCACCAGCATTCTACTTTCTGTCTCTATGAATTTGACTACTCTAGGTATCTCATATAAGTGGAATCACCTAGTATTGGTCATTTATATTGGGCTATTCACTTAGCATAATGTCCTTAAGGTTCATTTATCTTGAAGCATGTGTCAAATTTTTCTTAATTTCTTTTTTTTTTAAAGGCTGAATAATACTCCACTATATGTATATTCTACTGTTTGTTTATCTATTTGTCAGTCAATGTGCATTTGAGTTGTTCCCATCTTTTGGTTATTGTGAATAATGTTGCTATGAACATGGGTGTACAAATATCTGTTCAAGTTACTGCTTTTAATTGTTTTGTATATATAACCAGAAATGGAATTGCTGGATCACAGGGAAATTCTAATTTAACTTTTTAAGCAACCATCATATCATTTTCCATAGCAGCTGCACCATATTTTATTCCCACCAGCAATAAATAAAGGCTTCAATTTTTCCACATCTTCACCAACACCTATTATTTTCCGTTTTGTTTTTAAATTTAAAAAAATAGCCATCCTATGAATGTGAAGTGTTATCTCATTATAATTTTGATTTCTATTTCCCTAGTGATGAGTGATATAGAGCATCTTTTCATATGCTTATTGGCCATTGCATATGTTCTGTGGAGAAATATCCATTCTAGTCTTTTGCTCAGTTTTTAATCAGGTTGGCTTTTTCTGTTGTTGCTGAGTAAAAGTTTTTTTTTTAATATATAGTTTGAATATCAACCCCTCATCAGATACATGATTTGCAAATATTCTCTTCCACTCTTTGGGTTGCGTTTTCACTCTGTTGTTAAGATACACAAATTTTTTTGAGTCAGGGTATCACTACATCTCCCAGGCTGGAATGCAGTGGCATAATCATGGCATACCATACCCCGCCACAACTGGCCAATTTTTTTTTGGTAGAGATGGGATCTTGCTATGTTGCTCAGGTTGGTCTTGAACTCCTGAGCTCAAGTGATCTGTCTGCTTTGGCTCCCCAAAGTGCTGGGATTACAGGTGTAAGTCATCACACCCTGCCACCCTGTTGTTAGTGTCCTTTGAAGCACACAAGTTGTTCATTTTAACAAAGTCCAATTTATCTGTTTTTTCTTTTGTTGCTAGTGGTTTTGGTTTTATATTTAATACATCATTGCCAAATCTAATGTCATGCAGCTTTTACCTTATGTTTTCTTCTCAGAGTTATATAGTTTGTTTGTACATTAGGGTCTTTGATTAATTTTGAGTTTAATTTTGTATATGGTGTTAAGGGTCCAACTTCATTCTTTGGAATGTGGATATCCAGTTTACCCAGCATCATCAGCTGACAAAACTTTTTACTTCAGAATAGTTTTGGCACCCTTGTTGAAATCATTTGGCTACATATTATAAGGGTTTGTTTCTGGGCTCTATTCTACTCCATCGATTTATATGTCTGTTTTTATGCCAGTACTGCACTGTTTTGATTAGTGTAGGTATGTAGTGAGTTTTGAAATCAGGAGGTATGAGACCTTCACATTTGCTCTACAATTTAAAGATGGTTTTGATTATTTGGGGTTCCTTGAAATTCCATGTACATTTTAAAATGGCTTATTTTTATTTCTGTATGAAACAGAATTTTGGAATTCTGGGATTTTGATAGTGATTGAATTGAATCTATAGATTGCTTTGGGTATTGTTTTTCTTTTCCAACTTTTATTTTAGGTTCAAGTGGTATACATGCAGGTTTGTCACATGGGTAAATTGCATGTCATGGGGGTTTGGTGTACAGACAATTTTGTCACCTGAGGAACCAGAATAATACCTGATAGGTCATTTTTCAATCCTTCCCATCCTCCACTCTCAAGTAGGCCCTGGTATCTATAGTTTCCTTCTTTGTCTCCATGTGTACTCCATGTTTAGCTCTCACTTATAAGTGAGAACATGCAGTATTTGGTTTTCTGTTTTTCTGTGTTAATTTGCTTAGGATAATGGCCTCCAGCTCCACCCATGTTGCTGCAAAGAATGTGATTTCATTCTTTTTTATGACTGCACAGTATTCTACCATGTATATGTACCACATTTTCTTTATTGCCTTGGGTATTATTGATATCTTAAAAATACTAATGTTTCAAATTTATGAACATGGAATATCTTTCTACTTACTTGTTTCTTTAATTTCCTTTGGCACCATTTTGTAATTTTCACTCTACAAGTCTTTCATCTATTTGGTTAAGTTTATTCCAAAGTATTATTTTTGATGTTATTGTAAGCAAAATTGTTTTCTTAATTTCCTTTTTGGACTGTATATTGTTACGGAAATGCCATTGACTTATGAGTGTTAATTTTGGATTTTGAAATTGCTGAATTCATTTTTTAGTTCTAGCTGTTCTGTGTGTCTGTTTGTAATCTTTAGGGTTTCCTACATATAAGATTATGTTGCCTGTGACTGATAATAATTGTGTTGTTTCTATCCAATTTAAATGCCATTTTTTTCTTGACTGATTGCTCTGGCTAGGACATCCAGTACTGTGTTGAAGAGAAGTGGTGAAAGCAGGCTTGCCTTGTTCCTCATCTTAAAGGAAAATATTTCAGTCTTTTATGATTGAGCATAGTGTTAGCTGTGACTTTCTCAGGTAGGACTTTACTATGTTTAGATAAATTCTTTCCATTCTTAATATTGAGTGTATTATCAGGAAAGGGTGTTGAATTTTGTCAAAGGCCTTTTTTGTATTAATTGAGATGGTCATGTTATTTTTTTCCTTTCATTCTGTTGATGTGTTGTATTGATTAATTTTCAAATATTGAACCACTCTTACATTTCAGAATTAAATCCCACTTGATCATGGGTTACAATCCTTTTAACATGCAGTTGAATTTTGTTTACTAGTATTTTGTTGAGGATTTTTATTTGATTACTCATCAAAGATAGTGGTCTATAGTTTTCTTATAGTGTCTGTCTGGCTTTGGTATCAGGGTAATGTTGGCTTCATAGAATAAGTTAGGAAATGTTCGCTTCAATTTTTTTGAAGAAAAACATGATAAGGATTCATGTTAATTCTTCTTTACATGGTTGAAAGAACTCACCAATGAAGCCATCTTGTCAAAGGGTTTTCTCTGCTAGAAGGTTTTTTATTACTGCTTCAGTTTCCTTGCTAGCCATAGGTCTATTCAGATTTTCTATTTCTTCATGATTTGGTCTTGGTAGGTTATGTGTTTCCAGGAATTTGTCGATTTCATCTAGATTATCCAATTTGTTCACATACAATTGTTCATTTTCTCTATTGTTGGAGAAGTGTATTTTAAAAATGCCAGGACCCTACTCCCAGAATCTCTGCTTTAATTTAGTGTGTGATCGAGTCCAGACTTCACAGGTATTTTCTAAAATCTTCTTAGTGATTTTCATGTGCAACCAAGTTTGAAAATCACTGGCATAAGAGATTCTTGATTACAGATATACCTAATGAATTTTCCTAATATTTTAGTTTATCATAGAAAAATTCCTATATAAAGTAATACAAAAGATTGCTGTCATATAAATTTGGTCAACACAAATAGTAAGTTGGAAATTTAATGCTAGCTTCTTCTCTTTTCTTTAGTGATCTTGTTCTCTCACAATGAATGACTACGTATTTGTGTTATGACAATGTAGATAAAAATGCTCATAATAAATAAGGTACCGTATTGAATAAGTAAAATATACAGTAAAATTCTGCACTCAAAAAGCTGACCACAGGCAAGACATAAGGCAAACACATACCATTTAATTTAAATGGTAATTTAAATTAATTAATCTCTAATTCTCAAGTTCACTTCCTAAGTTTACTTTCTATTGCCTCCTCAATACCATGTACTATCAAGACAAAAGCTTTGCAAGAAATTACAACTTCCATATTTAACATAATCTAAGACACTATCAACTTTAAGATGTAATAATTTTTAACATATTAATAACATCACCTCTAAGATCCTGCTAATAAAAATTATGACAAAACATCAATTGTAAAATGCATTCTAATTTGAGAGATATTAAAATGTGAAAAAGTAGTAGTCATCTTTGGATGAAATATGCAGATTTTCTTTTTTCCTGAGCAGAAGTATAAGCTGATGGGGAAAAAAATAACATAATACATCTCAAGGTCTAATATATTGAACTCATGGGTTATTTGCTGATATGGGTCATCTGTGTCAAAGGTTGCTTGCATTATAATGGCTAATCAAAGGTGGATGGATGGTTTACCAATTTATCTGGGAAAATAGAAGTTTTCTATAACAGTCAAAGGAACACAAGAGATGAGTTCTTATTGTCTCTTCCAGTGCTCTGATTATGAATTCAATATAGCTTTAAGACTGAAGAGGTTACCAGCTAAAGCTAGACGTGTGCTTTCAATAGAAGGGACAAACTGTCTGTTCCTCCAGATATTTGCTTTTGCCAGGTAGTATCTGTCTTCTCCAGATTGGGATGAAGCCAGTTCATTTCAGTCCAAGTCTACCTCACTTAAGCTGAGAAGGCAGAAGAAATGCAGCATCTGGGTTAAATGAAATAGTAAGATCATAGATTTGAATCCACCCACATGCTGGTGATCCTGCAGAACTAAATGCAGTGCGACAGCCTCTCCCGTGTTATTTGTGAATTTGGCAGGTCACAGGAGGAAATTCAGAGTGGAAGATACACACATTTAAAGCCCCAGGAAGAATTCCAGAAGATTGGAAGAGTACCTGCGATCCAAACAAATGAAATGACCTTCCAAGGTCATGTGGCAGTGATTCAGGATTAGAACTCAGGTCAAGAGACTGCAGAAACAAGGAAACATCGAACTCATTTGGTTCTCCCCTGATACTTTTCTCCTGCAACATATATATTTTGTGAAGAGTTTTTAAAGTTTCCTCATATAATATGCCACCCCCACCCCATTTTTTTTCTCCTTTGAAAATGTAAAAGGCTCCTTTAAATAGAACCTGCTTTGTCAACTCTAAGATAGACAAAGGATTAAATTAAAGAAACAGCCAGCTGCTTTTCAATAGTTATGAGTGGGGAAGAAATGAGCTAGAAATATATTCCTACTTTAGGCATGCTTAGCTGCTCTTAGGTTCCTCCTTCATTATTTTATTGTCGTCTTTTCTTGGGCTGGGGCACCACGTTATCAAACCCCATCTGTGATCTTCAAATCTGAAGAAGGCAGCAGTGAACAAAGTGCACTCTATTTAAGTCCTTGCACGTTATCCACCTCCAACTTTCTTCCAGACACAGACACACAACCTCATAGTTTCATATGCAGACTTTGGTTTTGCTTTTCAGTTTTGGGATGTGACCCTTTCCAACTTCCTATGGATAGAAGCATAAAAAATGCACCAAAATGAGACAAACTAAAGCTAAAGACAACCAACACTCTACAGAGGTTTTTCTAGAAGGAAATAATTCCCTGTCCCAATCCACACAGATCAGAATAAGAAATCAACTCATATGCAAACTTCTGGAAAGGAAACTTTGTCAGACATTTCTCACCTCTCAGATCCCACCAACCTTCCTCACTCTCCCTTTGATTCCTCCCCATACTCAAACATAGCAACTGTTTTTTGTTGTTTTTTTTTTTTTTCCAGATATGTTACAGATTAAAACTGCAAGTCCTTTGAGGTGAAGCATGGTACAGACGGGGGAATAATAGTGATATTCTCTATCTTGTGAAATCAGCACTAAGCAAGAGGAAGGGAAAGAGATAGGAAAAGCCTGTGGGTTTTCATATTACTTGGGATAAAAACACCTCCTCACTGTTAGAAAGCAAGCAAATGGGGCCAGAGAAGCTCTTACCTCAGCCTGGGGTAGTAGTCTAAAAAGTATAAGTTAAGGTTAAGGACTATACATTTTACTTGGACCTATAAAAATTAGCTTGCCCTTGAGCTTCAGATTTGAGAAGGGAACCTCATGAAGTTCAAAGTAGAGCAGCACTTGCTTGTTGGCATTCTGTTGATCTGAATGAAGCTACTTTTGTTTAAAGCAGAATGAAAATAAAAATGACAGCAAGCATAGGGCCTGTATATCAATTCTAAAACAAAGAAAACTATAGTTCTAATAATTAAGCAGGGAGTCTACCTACGGAGGTTTTGCTCTGCAAAATAGAAGTTTTTAGAATAAATTTTTCATGTTTTAAGCAAAATATGATAAATTAGGATTACATGAGATGAACAGTGAAATATAAGATGAGAAATGTCAAACAGAGGAGAAATAAATGTACTCGAACCAAAACTATGCTAGGCTTAAAATTCTTGTTAGAAGCAGTTCAGAGTAGAATTACTGTGGCAGAAAATGAATACAAGAATGATACTGGGCAAAATTTAAATATTCAGTTTATAATTCTTTCTTTATAAAATGATTTTTTAAAAACTGGAAAAGCAATGGTCAACAATATATAATAAAACCTTTTAAAGCCAAAATACATTTCAAATAAATTCAAGAGAGGCCATTATTTTGGATTAAGCTCCTGTATGAGGCCCCAGCACACCAGACCAAACCAGAATAGAATTCTTAGTGCTAGTTGCCACTTAACTGAACTCTGAAATGGGCCAGATTTCCAGAAAATCAGGAGAGTCACAATAACCAATCAGAAGGACCCAGTTTACATGAGCTGGCATGATAAGAAAGTTCCCTTTCTTTTAACTCTATGAGGAAAGCAACTTTGAAATGACCAAATCTATTTTTCATTCCTTATTTCTGCTTTCTTCAGCCTTTTTTCTGACTATAAAGCCAACATCTTCTGCTCAGCTCATTAGAATATCTATTCCATTTTATAGATTGAGATGTTGCTCAATTCTAGAATTGCAAATAAAAACCAATTAGATCTTTAAACTAAATTTGTTGTAATCTTGCTTTTTGGCATATCAAATGTGGAGAAGAAAAAGTTAGTGCCACAATCTAGAAAAAAAGAAATTTCACTTAATATGAATACACAGTTTCATTTTTGGTTTATGGATATTTAAAGGAGCCTTACAACACCTGCATAGAGAACAGATTGCATCATTTTTCTTTACAAGGCTGAATGCCAGAAGAAAATGATGAAATTTCAGTGGGGTTTTAAGTTAAAGATGTCGAGCCCCAATCCTGGTTGTCTTAGATCAGTTTCTTCTAGAATCAGACTTTGAGCCAATGCCCCTGTGTGCAAGTTGTTTATTTTGGAGGTGTGGAGAAAATCAGGAGGTAAGTGAGAAGTGAAACAGAAAGACAAGGAATGTAGCCAGTAAAATGTTAAATATTAAGGCCGCTACCACTGGAGTTAATCCAATTTGGAAGCATTGGGAAACAGTACAAGAACACATGCTCCAAAATCTTCATGACCTTAGATTTGGCAATAGATTCTTAGGTATCATAAAAACACAAGCAACATAAGAAAAAATACATAAATTGGACTTCATCAAAATTAAAACCTTCTGTGCATCAAAGGGCACTATTAAGAAAGTAAAAACAACCTATAGAACTAGAGAAATCATATCTGATAAATGTCTAGTACTCAGAATATGTAAATAACTCTTTTTTCTTTTAAATTTTTTTTTTTGAGACGGAGTCTTGCTGTCGCCCAGGCTGGAGTGCAGTGGCGCGATCTCGGCTCACTGCAGGCTCCGTTCCCCAGGGCTCATGCCATTCTCCTGCCTCAGCCTCCCAAGTAGCTGGGAATACAGGTGCCCGCAACCTCGCCTGGCTAATTTTTTATATTTTTAGTAGAGACGGGGTTTCACCGTGTTAGCCAGGATGGTCTCAATCTCCTGACCTCGTGATCCGCCCACCTCGGCCTCCCAAAGTGCTGGGATTACAGGCATGAGCCACCGCGCCCGGCCTGTAAATAACTCTTGTAACTGAGTAACGAAAAGATAATCCAATTTAAAATGGGCAAGGGACTTGAATAGACATTCTTCAAAGAAGATATATAATGGTCATTAAGCACATTGAAAGATGCTCAACATCATTAACCATTAGGGAAATTTAAATGAAAACCACAATGAGATATCAATGTACACTTACTAGGATGGCTAGAATTTTTTTAAAAAGCAGAAAGTAGTAAGTGTTGGCAAAGATGTGAGTTAAAATTCACACAACATAGAATTAACTATTTAAATTTACAATATAGTAGCATTCAGTCCATTCACAGTGTTGTATGAGGAACACCTCTATCTAGGTCCAAAACATTTTCATCACTCCGAAAGGACACACTATACCATAAAGCAGTCACTCCCCATTCCCTCTTTTATACAGCTCTTGTCAACAAGTAATTTGCTTTCCATTTCTATGCATTTACTTAGTCCAAATATTTCTTATGAGTGAAACAATATAATTTATGACCTTTTGTGTCTGCTTTATTTCACTAAGCATAATGTTTCTGAGGCTTATCTGTGTAGCACTGAGAGCAAGCGAGGGTTGCTGGCATGTTGTCACCTCTCAATCCCCCCTCTAAACAGGACACCCCAACTGCTGTTCGGAATTTGGCCGATGACTGCTCTAGCTACTTCCTGCTGGATAGGGGTGAAGAAGGGGCCCTGCAGTTGTAGTGTCCTCCAGAGGGGAGCTCTCTGGGCCAGTGAAAGGGCCAGCAGGTCAGTCCAGGGGTCGTTGGTAGAAGTTGTTAGTTGAACTCATTTGGGGTTCCATTTGTAAGACTATCTGTAGCTTGATGGCGTCAATTCTAGAGGAAACAAATTTAACAAGGAGGTTAAAAATACAGGGCCCAAAGGTGAGTACCAGCAAGATGGCTGCCATTGGACCTAGAAAGGGGAGAAACCTTGTTGCCCAACTCCAGAGGTTGGTATGAGTTTGAAAGGCGTTGTCTGATTTCAGAAGCCTTGTCCTATAAACGCCAGGTGGCATCTCATACTATACCTGACTGGTTAGTGTAAAACCAACACTCTTCCCCTAAGAAGGTGCAGAGTACTCCTTTCTCATCAGTGAGGAGGTCTAGGTCCCAGCGGTACTGCTGCCAAAGAGTCTATTTGGGATTGTAGAGTAAGGATAGATTTCATTATTTCTTGCAAACTGTCTGAGAAATCCTTTGAGTGTGTGTGGTAGTAGGATAATGAAGTAGATAAACTGACTATTCCAGTTCCTGTAGCAGTAGCCATTCCTAAACCTATAAGTAGGGGTATTAATTGTATGGCTCTGTGCTGACGGATTTGAGCTTTGAGGGGTACTGATAGGGTCTGATTTTCACAAGATTAGAGGTTAGGATAATATATGTTTACACTGTTAACTTTTAGCAAACTTTACTTATGTTGAAAACCTTGTAAGTTTGGGATTTCAATTATTCTTTGCTATTAATAAGACCTTGTTCCGTCCATATTAACTTAAAATTGGTATAGACGGCTCCTTCCTGATTCTGTAAGGACTTTAAGGTTTGGCTGAATGCAAACAGCTTGCACGTTTGAGCAGACCAATTGTTAGGCAATTTTAATACCCATTGTGTCTTTTTCTTTAATCGCCCAGGAGGAAACATCTATTGTCCTGTACTAAAGGGAGTTCCTCCTATGTCTGATCGGACCTTCAGATTTAGATACCCTGTTAGGAAACCTGCCGGGTTAAGGATTTCTGATAGGAAGGCTACGGGTTGTCAGTGGCCTCAGTGCTTTCAGGCTATGCCCTTGTTTACACTGACAACAAGGTGGTATTGGAGTGTTATAGGGCTACAGAGAAGACCTTCAATTATCAATTATAGGTTTTAAATTTACCTTGGCTTTTAAAGGAATAGGGTACGCTTTTTTTTTTTTTTTTTTTTACTACTTCTATCTCTTTCTCTCTCCTTGACTTCTTTGTCTCTTCCTCTCTTTCCTTCTCTCTTTGACTTTCTGTCTGTCTCTTCCTCTCTGTCTCCTCTTTGACTTCCTTTCTCTTTCTCTCTTTCTCTGTCTGTCTCTTCTTCTCTCTGTCTCTTTCTCTCTCTCTGACTTTCTGTCTCTTTCTCTTTCCTTTCTGCTGGTCTTTCCTTGCCTCTGCCAGCCACTTACGCTGCTGTTCTCCCCTCTCCTTCCTCTTTTCGATGGCTTTGGGAGTGTAAGACTGCCATCTTCTTTGGTTTTTGCACTATGTGCAGTAACTCCATGATTTCCTTGTGATATTTAATGGGGGTTCCCAGAGGTTAGGAACTCCCTTTCTTTCCATATTGCAGCATGGGCATGTAGGATTTAATAAGCATGCTTGCTATCTGTATACACATTTATTCTTTTCCCCTTTCCCAGTTCTAAGGCTCGGGTAAGTGCCACTAGTTCTGCTAACTGGTCGCAGGTCCCTGGGGGAAGAGGCTTACTTTCAAGTATGGTTACATCACTAACTATGGCACAACCTGCCCTTCATATCCCATTCTCCACAAATGAACTTCCACTGGTATATAGGTTAAGGTCAGGATTAGTTAAGGGGACTTCTAATAGATCATCTCTGGTGGCATAAGTCTGGACTATAATTTGTTGGCAGTCATGCTCGATTGGTTCCACATCCTCTGGGAGAAAAGCGGCAGGGTTGAGGGCCATGCATGTATGTATTTGAAGCACTGGTCCCTCAAAGAGTAATGCCTGGTATCTAAGTAGGTGGTTGTCTGATAACCATAAACTTCCTTTGGCACCTAGTACGCCATTTACATCATGAGTAGTCCAGACAGTGAGATCCTTTCCTTGTATTATCTTGATAGCCTCTGACACTAAGACAGCCACTGCCACAACTACCCTTAAACAGTGAGGCCAGCCTTTTGCTACTACATCAGTTTCCTTACTTAGGTATGCCGCTGTTTGTGGGGCTGTCCCACGAGTCTGAGTAAGGACTCCAAGAGCTATCCCTGCTCTCTCTGTGACATATAGAGAGAAGTTTTGTCCTGTGGGAAGGCTTAAAGCTGGAGCTTGTACTAGGACCTGCTTTACGGTTTTGAAGGCTGTTTCTGACCCTGGTTCCCATTCTACTAGATGAGTATTTGCCCTCTGGGTCTCCTTGATTAGAGTATAGAGGGGCCTGGCTATCTCGCTGTATCCAGGGATCCATAGTCGGCAAAAGCCAGTGATTCCAAGGAACCCCTGCAACTGTTTTAATGTCTTCGGGCGAGGGTAAGCCAGTATAGGCTGTATTCATTTCTTGCTGAGGGCCCTAGTCCCTCCGGCTAAGATTAGGCTTAGATATTTGACCTGCTGTAGGCAAAGCTGGGCCTTCGACCTAGACACCTTGTACCCTTGATTAGCTAGAAAGCTCAAGAGATCTAGAGTAGCCTGCTGGCACAAGGCTACCAAACTGGTAGCCAAAAGTAAATCATCCACATACTGAAGGACCAGAGTGCCTGGACTTGAGAAGTGGCCTAGATCTTGGGCTAGTACCTGACCAAACAGGTGAGGGCTAGCCCTAAACCCTTGGGGCAAGACCATCCACATAAGTTGGGACATGTGGTCTGTGGGCTCCTCAAAGGCAAAGAGGAACTGGGAGTCAGAGTGCAGGGGAATACAGAAGAAGGCATCCTTGAGGTCCAGAACAGTGAACCATTCTGCTTCCTCTGGTATTTGAGAGAGCAGGGTATAGGGGTTGGGTACAACTGGATATAGAGGAATTATTGCCTCATTGATGAGTCTAAGATCTTGCACTAGTCTTCACTGACCATTCGGTTTTTGTACTCCTAGAATTGGGGTGTTGCAGGGACTGCTGCATTTCTTTACTAAGCCTTGAGCTTTTAAATGTTTAACAATATCCTGTAATCCTTTATGAGCTTCAGGCCTTAAGGGATATTGCCTTTGATAAGGAAAAGTGGTGGGATCTTTTAGCCTGATTTGGGCTGGGCAGGCATTTTTTTTGCCCTTCCAAATTGTCCCTCCAATGCCCAGATTTCACGGTTGATTCACCCCTCAAGTAGGGGACAACAAATGAGTAACTTGTTCCCCATATTCATGTAGATAATAGCTCCAGCTTTGGCTAATATATCCCTCCCTAATAAGGGTGTGGGACTTTCAGGCATGACAAGAAAGGCATGTGAAAAGAGCAAAGTCTCCCAATTACAACTGAGGAGGTGGGAGAAATACCTGGTTACAGGCTCTCCCAGGATTCCTTGGATGGTAACGGACCTTGAGGACAGTCGTCCAGGAAAGGAGATTAACACTGAGAAGGCCATGCCAGTGTCCAGGAGGAAGTCAATTTCCTGGCCCTCAATGGTTAAATGTACCCGGGGCTCACTGAGGGTGATGACGTGAGCTGGCACTAACCCTGGGCACCCTCAGTCCTGTTGTTGGATCATGTGGTTGGGGGCTTCTACCCAGAGAACCTTTGTCCTCTGGGGCAGCGCACCTTTCAGTGATTGCCTTGGCATAGCAGACATGGATGAGGGGGTGGCTTGTTTCTCGTTGGACAATCTTTTTTAAAGTGTCCTTGCAAACCACACTGGTAACAAGCCCTACTGGGTGATTGGCCTGTTCCATTTTCTGTCCTCTCTGAACCTCCAGGGTTTGTTTGTCTGAGGGCCATGACTAAGGCTGTGGCCTTTCTCTGGTCTCCCTTTTCCTATTGGGCCTATTCCTTTTGGTCCCTACTATAGAACACCGAGGTTGCCAGGTTTAATAATGTTTCCAAATTTTGTTCAGGGCCTAGGGCTTGCTTTTGGAGCTCTCTCCTGATATCTGCAGCTGATTGAGTAATAAACTTATCTTTTAGAATCAATTGACCCTTGAGTGATTTGGATGACAGGGGAGTATATTTTCTTAAGGCCTCCCATAGCTGCTCGAGGAAGGCAGAAGGATTTTCTTCCTTTCCCTGAGTTATGGTGGACATCATTGAATAATTCATGGGCTTTTTCCTAATTCTTCTTAGTCCTTCTAGAACACAGGTCAACAGATGTTTACAACTCCAGTCCCCATGATCTGAGTCAAGATCACAGTGGGGATCCATATTGGGGATGGCTTGCTGACTGGTAGGGAATTTGTCCCTTTCTTTGGCTGTCATTCTATCATTTAGTTGACTAAGATACCAGGTATCTCCAAACTCTTGGGCTGCAGCTAAAGCTGCATTCTTTTCATTAAAGGCCAAGGTTTGATGTAACAATAGCATGACATCTCTCCAAGTAAGATTAAAGGTTTGCCCTAGACCCTGTAGGACATCTATGTACCTATCAGGATCATCTGAAAACTTCCCCAGGTCTGCCTTGATCTGCTTTAAATCAGAGAGGGAGAATGGGACATGTACCCATGTTGGGCCAAATTCCCCTGCCCCTACAGCTTGAAGGGGACATAACCGATAGCCTGGGGGATTTTGTGGTCCTTTGGAGATTTCTTTGCTTATTTCCTTCTGGGCAGGGGAGATTAGAGGAGGATTATCATTAATAGGAAGGGGAGCTATAGGGAGGCTAGGATATGGGGGTAAGCTGAGAGGTCCTCCTGTGAGATGTAAAATGTAGTTGTGTATTCTCCTTCAATGAAAAGAAAGCTTGGACATAAGGTATTTCATTCCATTTGCCTTCCCTCTTACAAAAAAAGTCAAGCTGCAGGATAGTATTGTAATGTACACTTCCCTCAGGTGGCCATTTTTCCCCATCAGAGAGAGAATATTGGGGCCAAGCCATAGTGCAGAAAAAAATGAGCTGCCTTTTTTTCAGGGTTTGTGGGTCAAATTGGTCCCAATGATTTAGGATGCATTTCAAGGGTGAGCCTGTTGATGCCAGAGTGTTTCCCATCTGAAAGACAAAACCACCCATGGCTTTGGTTTGTTTTGTTTCTCCCCCTGCCCAAGAACCCACAAGGGTCCCTGGACCCTGCTCGTCGGAATAGTTACACTCACTGATGCAGCAGCAGAAACACTAGTTTTCCTCCCAGAACACAAGAAGGAACGAGGAAGGTCAGATTTAGTGGCCCTTACTGATGCATTCTCAAAAACCTGCACCCTTGCCTGTCGTCCTAGACCACAAAGAGGACCAAGAAAAATCAGATTTAGTGGCCCTTACCAACACATTCTCGAAAACCTGTTAGAGTCCTAAGCATTCTCCTGTTAGTATTGGGACCTTACCCATGTCCTATAAAGGTGTTATGCCCCAAAAATGAAGTGGCGGGCCATACCCTGAGGGAGGGAAGGGATCTCCAGAGTTGGAAGAGTGATGCCTTTTGTCCCCACTTATAGGAATAGGAAGGATAAAATTTCAGAGGCTCCCCATATCCTAGCTTCAGGAATAGCTTTTGTTAGGCCTTCTTGTCTGAGGAGGGATCCTAAAATTCCAGATAGTCCCTCCTACGATGGAGCTTTGGGCAAAAATTATGTCTTTCTGATTGGTGAGCCCAGGTGCCTAAAGAAGGTAACAGAGTCCTGGCGTTTATACTAGAAAACATCCTTAGAGGAGAAACTGGAAAAGTACCAGAGGCAGGGAGTGGTTTTTAGAAGCGGGACTAGCCTTGGAGAAGAGAGGCAAGAGGAAGTTTGTCTGACAGGCATTAGGACCCAGGAGGCAAGGGTCAGCATAGATAGGCTAGATGGGCAAGTCTCGCTTGGGCAACATGCCTTTGAGAGTTCCACTCATGGCCGCAGGGTCAACCAACTTGTTGTCGGGACCCCAGAACTCAATGGCTTTCCTCTCTGTCAACCCTTGGCTCAGCCCAGAGTACAGAAAAAGCAGAAGCTGGTTCCAGGCAAACCAACGCTCCCAACTCCGAAGAGTTGGGGGTCGTTAGAGAGCCCTTTCCCAGAAAGCCTGATATCCGTGTCTTTAGTCCGGCGGCCACACTAGTCGCTTTTAACTGGCCTACAGGTGCCCAGTATTTAGCCCCTGAATTGTAAGGAAAAACAGGACAGAATAGCAAGTGAAAGCGGTCCAGTGGTACTCACCGCTTGGTGATAGGTGAAAGTCTCACTGCATGGCAATTAAAAGTCCCTTCATGGTTGCCAAAATGTGTCCGGAATTGGTGGGTTCTTGGTCTCGCTGACTTCAAGAATGAAGCCGCAAACCCTCGTGGTGAGTGTTACAGTTCTTAAAGATGGTGTGTCTGGAGTTTGTTCCGGAGTTTGTTCCTTTAGATGTTCAGATGTGTCCAGAGTTTCTTCCTTCTGGTGGGTTCGTGGTCTCACTGACTTCAGGAGTGAAGCTGCAGACCTTTGCAGTGAGTGTTACAGCTCTTAAAGGCAGTGCATCTGGAGTTGCTCATTCCTCCCAGTGGGTTCGTGGTCTCGCTGGCTTCAGGAGTGAAGTTACAGACCTTCGCAGTGAGTGTTATAGCTCATAAAGGTGGTGTGGACCCAAAGAGTGAGCAGCAGCAAGATTTATTGTGAAAAGCGAAAGAGCGAAGCTTCCACAGCATGGAAGGGGACCCAAGAGGGTTGCCGCTGCTGGCTCGGGTGGCCTGCTTTTATGCCATTATCTGGCTGCACCCACATCCTACTGATTGGTCCATTTTACAGAGATCTGATTGGTCCATTTTGACAGGGTGCTGATTGGTGCATTTACAAACCTTTAGCTAGACACAGAGTGCTGATTGGTGCGTTTACAATCCTTTAGCTAGACACAAAAGTTCTCCAAGTCCCCGCTAGATTAGCTGGACACAGAGCGCTGATTGGTGCATTTACAAACCTTTAGCTAGACACAGAGTGCTGATTGGTGCGTTTACAATCCTTTAGCTAGACAGAAAAGTTCTCCAAGTCCCCACTCGTCCCAGAAGCCCAGCCAGCTTCACTTCTCACTGGCACTCACCACGGGACTTTGTGGCACCTAGCCTGGGCACTCCAGCAGCCTGGAGGGAGTTTGTCCCCTGATCAAGCCCAGCAGGCGCCGGCCAGCTGTGCCAAGTGTGAGGCCCACTGAGCCTGCGCCCACCTGGAACCCCCACCGGCCCATGAGGGCTGCATGCTCCCACCCACGCCTCTCCCTCCACACCTCCCCGTGAGCAGAGGGAGCCGGTTCTGGCCTCGGCCAGCCCCAGAGAGGGGCCCCCACAGTGCAGTGGCGGGCTGAAGGGCTCCTCAAGCATGGCCAGAGCAGATGCCGAGGCCGAGGAGGCACTGAGAGCAAGCGAGGGCTGCTGGCACGTTGTCACCTCTCATTAGGTCAGGACTTACTCCTGTCATTTTAAAAATTGATTTCCAGTTGTTTTGTATATTCTTTCTTCTTTCCTTTCTCTCTTATTGTTTATTTTTGTGGTGGGGTATTCTGTAGTGATAAGGTTTGATTTCTTTCTCTTTCTCCTTTATCAGCTCTACCAGTAAGTTTTATAGTTCCACATGTTCTCGTAATGGTGGTTATCATCTTTTTACATCCAATCCTCTTGAGGATTTCCTGTAAGGCTGATATAGTGCTGATGAATTCACTTAGGTATAGCTTGTCTGTGAAAGATTTCATTTCTCCTTCATTTCCTAAGGTTAGCTTGGCTGTGTATACTATTCTTGGATGGCATATTTTTCTTTCAGTATTTTCAATATATCATCCCATTTTCTCCAGGCCTGTAAGGTTTCTGCTGAAAAATTCATTGCTAGTCTGATGGAGATTTCCTTATATGTGACTTGACACTTCTCTCCTGAAGCTTTTAGAATTCTTTCTTTGCCTTTCAACAATTTGACTATAATGTGTCTTGAAGAGGATCTGTTTGGGTTGAATCCATGTGGGATTCTTTGAGCTTCCCAGACCCAGATGTCCGTCTCTCTCTGAGACTTGAAAAGTTTTCAATTTCACAACTTCTTGGCTGGCCTGGGTGCATGTCTGCTGGGGTGGCCCACAGGGCTGCTTCTTAGGCCTGGGATATAGGCTCAAGGCTGCATGGTTGGCTTGGGGATGTGTCTGCTGGGTGGGGTAGTGGGCATATGATGCTATTTCTCAGATTTGGAATGTGGGTGCAAGGCTGTTCGACTGGTTTAGGGGCATGCCCATCAAGGGTAACCCGTGGGACTATTTCTCAGGCTTGGTATGCAGGTGCACAGCTGCTCAGCTGGCCTGGGGGCATGTCTGCCAATGGAAACCTGCAGAATTGTTTCTCAGGCCTGTGACATGGCTGCATGGCTGGTGTGAGGGTGTTTCTGCTGGGGTGGCCCACAGGGCTGTTTCTCAGGCCTGGGATGTAGGCAGACAGCTACTCAGCTGGCCTGGGGGTGTGTCTGCCAGAGGCAACCTGCAGAGCCGTTTCTCACGCCCAAGATGTGGGTGGAAGGCTGCTTAGTTGGTTTGGCACATAACCAGCAAAGGTGGCCCATGAGGCTATTTCTCAGGTTTGGACCACGAGCTAACAGCTCCTGGCCAGCCTGGGGGAATGCCTTCCAGGGATGGCCTGTGGGACTATTTCTCAGGTCCTTATTGGGGTCCCAGGACCATTGGGCCAGCTAGGGACATGTTTGCAGGAATAAGGGGAAGGATGTGGGGCTCTTTCTTAGTCTCGAGCATGGGTGGGCAACCACTCCACCACCCTGGGGGTGTATCAGCTGCTCAGAGGCTCAGGGCCTCTCCTGTGGAGGGCATGCAGCAGTTTGGCCAGCTCAAGGGTAGATTCAATCTGTGGTGAACTGACAGATGGTTTCTCTGCCTGAAAGTGTAGCAGCAGGGGTTGATATCCCTGCTGTACAGGAACAAAGTCATAGGTGATCCTCAGCCTAGTTCCTTGCAGCTGGGGTTGTGGCATTCAGCCACCCATGTGGGCTTGATACAATAAAGTTGGAGTCCCAGTGCTGGAGAGGGTGCAGTGGCTTCTGGCCCCCAGAGCAGGGTGAACTCCAGAGGTGGCTCTGTTCTCAAGATGGTGTCATGCTGCAGCAGCTGGGCTCCCAGCAGGTAGGTGGGGAGTGCAGAATGCATACCTCATGCTCCTAGTCTGAGGCAATGCATCTGCACAAATTCCCAGAAGCTCTCCAAACTGGATTCAGGGCTTGTGAGGACTAGGGATTCTCCTGTAGAAGGACCATAAGTGTTTGTGGTGGCAATTGGGGCTGGCATTTTTTTTTCCCACACACAAAAAAATCCTTCCTGACTCCTGTCAGATCTGATCTGAGCCAGGGGGCCAGAAGAGGCCTGGTGCCTCCTTGCTGCTTTTCTGGACTCCCAATCATCATTGGTGTGTCTCCACCCCTCCAATGCACTCCAGTGCTCTCCCTTCAATACTCCAGTCAAATCTTAGCTCTTTATTCATTGTCTTGGTCCTTTCTTATTGGGGCAACAAACTCCAGGTATCTCTTGTTAGCCACCTTCCTGAAGTCCTAATTTCACACTGGTGAGCAGCAAGACTTGAGCAATGGCACTAGTAACTCTGGAATGGTACTTTATTTTATAAGGATTATAAATCAGATTCTACACAAAGACCTCCTGAATTCTTTCAGCATGAGCAGAGCAGTCGGTTTGTTTGCTACCTTGTAACTAAGATCTGATAAGAATTCAAGTGATTGCATTTTCAGAAGCAAACAATGGCAAGGCTCAGAGCAGCTGTACAACATGATCACTGAGGAACCTAAACCGCACTCTCATTAGCATTGGTCAGAGAATGAAGATTCAATCTATGTATAATAGTTGCCTCTCTAAAAGAAACCAAAACAAATGGAGAAGAAACAATGGTCCATAATTAGGTAAAGGATGGACGCTATACCTTCCAGATAGGAGCCTCAAAAGAGGAAAACATGAGCTGGAATTTAGCCATCTGCATTGGGCTCTGCCTTCTTCTTCCTTGAGAGTGTAGACTAAGCGAGGTATTCAATGATAAACTACTAGCCAATGGTTAATAGACAGAAGCGATCTGTCCTCAGTGTTTAGCAAAACTAATAATAATAATATTCACGATGCTAATGCCGATGAGGACAACAAAGGCAATGCAGATTTGAGGAAGTAACATTTAAGCTGAGAGTGGAAAAATCAGAAGAATTAAGCCATATGAAAGGGAAAGGAGAAAAGTGTTCTTAGCAGAGTGAATTTAGTATGAGTAAAGACCTAGACAATAAAGCACAATAAATTAAATACAAATATAGAATTGTATTATAGTTGGAGGAAGACATATGATGAGAAATGAGGACTGAAAAAAGCATAAGTGTATCTTGAGGTTCCTATCCAGAGACTTATATTTATTCACACATTAGTTATTATCCTGTCTTTCCCTACTATAGAATACTAGTTTCACTGAGTGCAACAGTATTCTCAGTTTAAAGACAAACAAACAAATAAACAAAAACTAACCCCTTTAACTTTCAGACAGTGACGGCCACATGACTAAGTTCTGGCCAATGAGATATAATGGAAGTTATGGCTGCAGATTTTGGACAGGCTTGACACATGGGGGTTAACACAGTAGGCATATTTCTTTCCCCCACACTCTTCACCTTCTTATAGCTAGCTCAACAAGTAGAAGCCTCTTTTGGGCAAAACATGAGCATCTATCAATCCAAGCCTTTGAAAAAAGAGGAGACTCACTTTTTTTTTTTTTTTTTTTTTTTTTTTTTGAGACAGAGTCTTGCTCTGTCGCCCAGGCTGGAGGGCAGTGGTACAATCTCGGCTCACTGCAAGCTCCTCATCCTGGGTTCACGCCATTCTGCCTCAGCCTCCTGAGTAGCTGGGACTACAGGCACCCACTACCACGCCCGGCTAATTTTTTGTATTTTTAGTAGAGACAGAGTTTCACTGAGTTAGCCAGGATGGAGGGATTCACTTTTTTTCCTCTTCTCTCCTCTTAGCCTTAGTCAGCCTGGCTCTCCAAGTCTCCCAGAATCACTGGTAATTTACTTAAATTGTTTAATTTTGAGTAACTGTAAAATCTATTACCCCCAAAAACACTGATTCTAAGAGGAATCACTCATTCTTTTCTCTCTTATGATGTGGTTCATACTGATTATTGCATTCATAACAGCATAACAGAGCCTTATCTAATGACTTTTACTTGGGGAATCAAAGTAGCTTACCAAAAAAGCATTTTTCTAGACCTGTATCTTATCATCTTATAGTCTTTCTTAAAATGGCTTCTGATTTGAATGTTATACAGAAATTAAAATATGCTTAAAATATGAACAAATATTCACTATATTTCCAGTTTTAAAAAGCTCAAACATATTTATAGCTCAATCTCTATCTCTGTCTATCTATAGTCAAATGCATTGATAATTCCCTTTTTCATAAAACACTTCATTCTCATGATTTTCAGGACACTGTGGCTTCTGGATTCTTCTTCTACCTCACAAGATACTACTTCTCAGTTTTCCTTGCTCTTTCTTCCATTCTCTAACTTGTAAGTTTTGGAATTTTCCAGGTATTGGTCCTCACATTTCTTTTTTTCTTCATTTTTTTAACCTATGTTCATTTCTATGGGACTCATGATTTAAATATTATCTACATATTGAGGCATCACAAATGTATATCTTCTGTCCTGCCTCTCCTTTGAGTTTTGACCAGTTTTTCCAACAGTCTACAAGATATTTTTCACTTAGAAGTCCAGTTGGCATATCAGACTTCATACTATCACCTCATGTCTAAAATATTCCCACAGCCTCCTAACTGGTTATCCTGATTTTGCTCTTTTGCATAGTGATGTGGATGAGATTTCTAAGGTGGAAATCAAATCATTTCACTCTCCTGCTCAAAATCTTACAATAGCATCCCACACTCTTTAGCAAGAAGCCCAAACTGAGAAACATGACAAGGTTGGGCCTGTTTCTTTGATTTCATTTTTCGATATTTCCTCACCTCTTGCTGAAACCTCTCCAGCTCCACTGACTTTCTTGCTATTCTTAAACAACCAGAGTATGTTCTTTCACCAGTTTTTTTTACCCTGCTGCTGCTTCTGCTTAGAATTTTCTTTCCAGGCCATCATTGGCCCCCACTGCCCCCCCCACCTCCTCCTCCTGCTTACCTCTTTCTCACCCACCTCCCTCCCTTTATTTGAGTTCAACAAGACCTTTCCTCAGCATTCAAATAAAATAGCTCATTGATTCCTTCTTTCATCACGATAAATTTTTCTTTATATGTTATTAGTAACTAATATTTTTACAATTTTCTGTTTCTCCCATAAGTGTGAGAGCAGGCTTGTTCTTCACTCTAAACACAGAAAACCCAACAGTATCTGGCAGTAGGAACTCAATAAATATTTATTGAATTCATATATGTATATTTGTTTATACACACATACATACATACAAAGTACCAAAATGTTAACCATGGCTATCATCTGAGATATCTGGAATATTATCTGAAAGCCTACAATATTCTTAACAATAAAATTATTATTTTTTCTTGCCTTCAAAAGTGCCCTTTAGCATGTTTGTGTATTTCTTCTATGTTAGGACCATAGATATTTTATTCCTTTCCTTCCTTTCTTCTTTTGGTCAAATCATGTACACCTTCTTTACATGAAATACTGTTACATCTTGCTCTAAGATCAATTTCCTTTGAACGAGGCATACCCTTTCATTATTACAGAACATATATACCTTCATAATGGTTTCACCTCTACATAAAAGATTGTGCCAAGAGCCTAGAGATAAATTTTAAATTTACCTTATCATCCTTGTATTAGGATAAGGTCATATTGCATAGAGGTTAAAACCATGGATTCTGAAATTATATTTCCTGAGTTCAGTTTCCAGTTATATTGTTAACAGTTCTGCAACCTTAGTCAAGCAATCTAATCTACCAAAGCCTTGAAAACTACTTCACTGAAACGTTGTAGGTAATCAATGAGTTCATGTGAATAAAGCACTTTGAACAGTGTCTGCACATATGACCTGCCTGATAAACGTCAGCTATTATGATGATCATATTCTATCATGATTTATGCTCCTGATGAATTGTTTCTCACCACCTTCCAGGTCATGTTTACTTGAAAACTATCTATTATTGTTATTTTTAAATTGTATCAGATATCTACAATAAGGCCTGTTTTTAGAGTTTAACAGTCCCTGTTTCCAGAAGTGTCTGGTTAACAAATCTTCTTTGAAAAATATTTTTTCCTAGTCCTTATAGCTGTATTTCATTCTTTGCCAGTTTATCATTCCATTTTCATAATACAAAAGAATTAATCCCAATCTTTGATAACATCTATAGAGCCAGCCATTCTCTTTTGAAATTCTCTCTTTTAAAGATCATTATATTTCAACTGGAAAAACAGAAAAAAAAAATAAGCCTCTTTCTTTCTGCCTGCCTTCCTGCCTTCTTGCTTTAAATAGCTAAAATGGTTACATCTTAAAACCGTAAGCTGCTATAACCAGCAAATGACCCTGCACAGGAGTTCCTTCCCAGCCCAAGAGTGATGCTTATGCTAAGAAAGGAGGAAAGTTGTTAATTTGAAGACATTTTTGTTCACTCATAGCTACTTTAAATGATTTCCAAGATGATTCTTGGTATTCATTTCTAACTGGTGAAGTTCCAACTGATTTAACTAGAACAGAGAGAAATTTTCAAACATTGTTCGTATTTGCCGTTGTGGAAAAGACTTTTTTAAAGACTTTCCTTCCTTCTCTGTGTAGGCTATGCTTGAATGAAGAAGCTGTCCAGCTAGGCCTTATAAAATGTATTTCTCCTTTCTTGTCACAGAAACATAATTTGATCAGTATTATTAAAAAAAGATTTTTTTTCTCCCTTTAGAAATTGTGTGGGTTGAAAAATTCTCCATGCTGTCAAGCTCTTCATGACTAATAAATGTTACCTGTATCAAATCTTCTAATTATCTCCAAGATTTTGGATTTTGGAGCCAACAATTTCATTATTTTACCATCTGCCAAAGAGTGTTTTTGGCAGAGCGCAGTAGAAAAATAGGCAATGTGGATGAAAACTTGACTAATTAAATAATAAACCTACTTATAAAAATGATACTAGGGAGTTTTGCTAAAGTGAACCTGAGCTGCATTTGGTGCTACTAGGTCCATGTGAACTTCAGTGCTTCCCATGCCTACCCACTGGCCATGTCACTCATGCACATGGGAATTAAGGAGGAAGCCAGGAATACTTTCCATAGCAGTTAATGTTCAATTCTTTAGGAGAGTAGTTTATATTTAAATAACTTGTGATTTCAGGTTATTAAAAATAACATATTAACAAAGAAAGCCAAAAACATAAACAAATACATCTTTTACAAATTTATATTTGCTACAGAACTAATGTGTGCATTGAGATCTAGAGTGTTTCTTGTGATCCTTATAAGTTTTCTTATCCATCACACAGGGTTGTAGGCATATGAATTTTGGACTCCTTCAGTACCTTTAGATAACTCATAGACTTGGGAAAACTGCTTCTAAAAGGAAATGCTCCACGTGTGACCTTTTATCTAAAGAATACCTTTAGGCTAGGCATGGTGGCTCATGCCCATAATCCCAGCACTTTGGGAGGCCGAGGCAGGCAGATCATGAGGTCAGGAGATCGAGACCATCCTGGCCAATATGGTGAAACCCCGTCTCTACTAAAAATACAAAAATTAGCTGGGCATGGTGGCATGTGCCTGTAATCCCAGCTACTTGGCAGGCTGAGGCAGGAGAGTCACTTGAACCAGGGAGTCGGAGGTTGCAGTGAGCAGAGATTGTGCCACTGCACTCCAGCCTGGTGACAGAGCAATACTCTGTCTCAAAAAAAAAAGACCTTTAGACACTGATGTGCGCCCTTTTACCTAAAGAAGTCATGTAGACACTGAAGTAGTCCAGTTCTTTCTATGCCATAAAGGTGCCACACTACCATTTTAATAGAAAATTGATATCATAGCATGTTCTGTGCATCATCTTGAAAAAACTGGTACTAAAACTCAGTCTTAAGGGTATGAGTATATTTGTTCAGAGGTGCTCCTCTCATGTTTCCATCTTCAGAACCTGGATTTGAACTCTAATTCTGCTGCTTACTATCTGGCCATGAGGAAAGTATTTAACCTCTCCTATGTGCCTCAAATTCTGCCTCTAGAGAGGATGGATAAAAATAAGACCTTGCTCAACAAGTTGATGTGAGGATAAATGAGTTAATATCTGTGAAACACTTAGAACAATGTCTGATACATTAGTAAGCCCTCGAGAAATGTTACCTAAATAGAACATTATTTGTATCATTGACATAGAAATTATATTAAGAAAAAACTTCCCAAACACACATGGGTATAGACAGCAACATGCATTGCAACATTTATAACTGTGTAAATATGGTAGCAAATTTAGTTACATGTAAATTCTAATTTTGTATTATTAAACAATAGAAATACAACATAAGATTTCATGTAAATATGATGTCGCTGATATAAAATAATAAGCAAAGTGCTATATAAATAAAACAATGTTAATAGACAAAGATGATCAGATTTATGGGTGATTATTTCTTCTCACCTCAGCTCTTTGTTTCTACAATAAATACGACTTCATAGAAATAAAAAGTAATATATGTTAAAGTAAATTATTCCATGAATGAATTATAACAAAGTCAATATGGAAGGGAAATATAAAATATGAAAAGTGTGGGATATTTTAAAGATCATTTATCCTAACCTCTCTCTATTAATGAGGGAATAATAAGTTCAGAAAATGGCTTGTTTAGTCATACAATTAGAGTGTATAACTGGTGGTCTAACTTGTTAAAATACATGTATTGAATGAGGTTTTGCTGTGATACTATCTCATGCATATATGATTAAGGAAAATATGAAATAATCTTTTAGAAATGGGAAATTCTCTTCTTTGGTGCTATACAAGAATATATGTCTTTAAAGGAAAATGCCATTATAACAAAAGCTGTAGAACAATATTGGTATTTCAGAGAGACAGTTTTTAATCAGTTTAAAGGGAACAGAGGGAAAATGTTTTTAATTAGGTAACTATCCTGACTAATATTTTGGTGTTAGTGTGTGAAGTTAATACTGTACAATTCTCAGTGGCTGACAGGAGAGTGACAGGTGACGTTGGAGTCACAGATCAATTAGACAAGATTCTGAGATGTGACATCTCAAAAGAAAGTAGCAATATCATGTATTTGAATTTCTAAACTTGCTCTAATAGGTATCCATTATCAATCTTTTGGTATTTGAGGCATTATTTGAAGCCAGCATTAGGTGTATATACCTTACCTATGACTTAATCTTCCTATCATAGCTTTACTGTCTCTTGTATTTTAGATTTAGTTTCTTGCTGATACAGTATTTCTTTGAAAGCCACCCTAATTCATTTCTAGAATATAGTGGGCCATAAATAAACTATTTTGTTATTGTTGCGATTATTGCTACACTAGGACTTATTCCTACCATTTTACTTTGTTTTCTATTTCTTATGCTTTCTTACTATACATTCTCTATTTTCCAGTGGGTAGAGGAAATTTTTCTAGTGTAAAAGTTCTGCATTCTATTTTTATTCTCCTGGTGGTTACCTCTAATTTATTAACACTCAAATGCATGCTTATTTATTATTTAGCAAAACTAAAGCTCAGGAAAACAAACAAACAAACAAAACTAAAGCTCAGATACATCTATATATTGCCCTGGGCCAGCAAGCCATTTAGCTGGCATGTTCTCATCTTCCATTGGTGCCATGAATACTGCCTCCAGTTTCCAGTCAAGTAAGTACTTTCTAGAGTTTTAATACCAGATTATATGGATTAAATTCTTACAAATTTTTGCCTATTTTGACAAGTTCATCCATCTGTCTTTCCTCTATATCTTATTGCCTTCTGCATTTGTTTTTCTTCATCCTGAGATACAACATCTAAAAATTCTTTCAAAGTAGATCATGTTGTAATACTATTTGAGACCCTTTAGCCTGAGAATATCTTTAATCGTCTTTTATCTTAAGTGGAAATTGAGGTATATATGAAATTCTTTATTAAACTTTAATTTCTTCGGCCCTTTCAAAATACTATTCGATTATCTTCTTAAGCCAGGGTTGCTGTTAAGCTATTTAATGCCAATCCAATGTTTACTCCTTAGAGAGAATCTGATTTTTCTCTCTAGAATCTATTGTTGTTTTTCTTTGTCTATGGTGTTCTTAAATTTTACTAAAATGCATCTAGGGTACTTTTCTACCCTATGTGACACTCTCTGAGCCCTGTTATTCCAAAATATTATGGCAACATTTACTATTTGTAAAATTGCCATTATATTCTCAAATTATTCCCCCTCTCTGTTTACATTTTTTCCTGGGACTCCTATTGGGTAGATGTTGAATGTCTCCTGTCCTCTTCCCTGTTTGTTACCTTTCCTTTCTCACTTATCCTTTCCTGATGCCTTCTAGGAATATACTTTGACCTAACCCCTTGCTCACCAAATGTATCTATCCATTGAGATTATTCAACAACTATATCTCTTATCCCAAATACCTGCAATTGATTTTTCTTCATAGCTGCTTTTTCCTACCTCGTGTACCAAATATCCTCTTCCATCTATGAGTATTTTAAATTCTTCTTTCTTTTTCGTTAGGGCTATCTCCTTTTGTAGATCTCCCTCAATTTGTTATTTTGCTTTCATTTTAAGTCCTCAAAACTATTGATTTCACAGTAACTGAAATTTTATCCTCTGTCATCATTAGCTGTATTGACTAGTTTTGTCAACTTTATGGGAATTGATGAAAGCCTGGGCTTTAAGCTTGCAATTACTCCAGTGAGACTGGAGGGAGGAGTGCTTCAGAACAGGGAGCCTCTCCCTTGTAATCCATGCCTCTTTACCTCCCCAGGCATCTCTTGGCTGCTGAGAAAATTCCCCAGGGCTTCTGATCCAAGTTGTGTTTTAATCCAAGAGTAGACACATTTTAAGGTTATTGCTTAGTTCAGGGAATGCAGAAAAATGTTCTGGATCATTGAAATATTTATTGCTATTGGCTGCCCAATGGAGCAAAGGTACAAGCAATTAAAGAAAAGGGCACTACTAGAAAACTCTCTCTAGGCCAGGCCACAAATGCACGCCCGCCCTGGAGCTCTCCTGTTGAAAGCTGTTTCCCACATACTGGGACTGATTCACTCTGTCACTCCCTAGGATTTTCACTAATACTTTCTATTAGTTGCCATTGGCATCTCCAAATCTGGGTTGAAGGGAGGAAGCCAGAAGCCTGGACTTGTCATTTGCTTAGAAATATATACACTATCATTTATATGTGAACTCTAAGAATGTTGATGTATTTTCTTGGTCAGATTAGGATTCTATAATTTAACTTCAGGAATATACAGAGATTTTAAGTAAATGAAAGCTATAATAAATTTGCATAGTAATTAAAGTCTTAAACAACTTTTTAGTTTTGAAAGAATAGTAGCTAGATACAAAATACAGGTATGATAACCCAAACAATATAATAATAATACATTAATGTTGAAAAGATTTTAAAGTGTTTATTTTTTAGAGAAAATGCTTCTTTTAGGCACTCATGGCATTTTACCAATAGAAGCTGCAGAAGAAATCTCAACACATTTTGAAAAACATAATTTTTACCATTTACATTCTTGTATTGAATTGTTGCAAGAAAATTTTGAAAGAATAGTAAGAGATTAAACAACCACTACCAACAACATAAAAAATACAAGCTTTTAGAAATTAAAACTTATCTGCTAAAAACCATGGTGATCAAATTATAAATTAAAATGTTGGTTATATATCAAGGTTGGCCAGGATGTAGGAAAATGGGCATGGACACATACTATTGTTGTGTGGACTAACACAGCCTTTTGTGGAGAGCAATTTGAGAATAGTTATCAAAATTAAACATGTACATACAACTTGACCCAGGAAACCCATTCCCTGAAATCTATTATAAAGAAATATTTGTACATGCTGGCAATGATATGAACATAAGAATGAACATTTACAGCATTTAAAAAATGTAATGCATATTAATGTAAGTAAAAAAATATTTAAAACAATAAAGGGACTGTTAGCAGTTGGTAGCATTGGAAAGAAAGCTGGTTTGAGGTAAGGTACAGTAGAAAGTTTATTTTTTATTTCATATTTCTGTATTGCTTGAAATTTTATAATTAATAAAGAGCAATAAGGTAATAACATATTTAATTCTAGAGTATTTTAGAAGTAATCATACTGTGATTAAAAATATCACTATAACAGGTGGCCAAAGATCTTTTTACACACTACTTCAGATCCTCGAGTGCTAACATTATGCTAGAATAATGTAAGTATGTAAATAAAATATTCTATCATAGAAATTAAGTATGCACAACAAAGCAACTCAAAAATAAGAAGAAAAACATATCAAAAACAAAAGCTGATAGTTAATGATTTAATGATTTAGCAAATATATCCAAGAGCTGGTTCTTTTAAAATTTTAATAAAACAGAAAACCCTTTGGGAAGTCTAAAGATAATGTAATGTAAATACTCAAAATTAGAAATGAATAACTACAGAGAGAAAAAATACAAGATAATACTTTGTATACCTTTAAGCTACTTTATGTTTTTATCATTTCATGATTTTCTAGAAAAAAATTTATAAAACTGATCTTTTTTCCTAAATTACAAAAATTAAAATAAACCAAGAACCAAGATCTATAAAGATTCTGGGACCTAATGATACAGAAAAGAATTTTTTTAAAATTTCATTGAATAAATGAAACATAAATAGCTTTAAAATCACTTTATGATTATTATAACCATTACATAAAGCCATTAATAAAACCTGTTTTGTAAACGTGTATGTTAATTCAGATCCTTGTTTGAAGAAAAATTTGAGGTCAAATCTGGAATTATATTAAAAACCAAATATTCCCATGCCCGAAGAAGGTATATTCTGAGAAAATAAAGAGGATGCAACATTAGACATTAGAAAATTTCTTAATGAAACAAAGCATGTCAATAAGCTAAAGGTTATTGTCTAGGCCAATGGCCAACTCTACCCCCACCAAAGTAAAAAACCAAAGACAGAAACAGAAACCAACACAAAACAAAGGATTTGACTAAGTACTACATACATATTGTTGCCAATACAAATTCTCAGAATACTAGAAATAGAATGATACTCCCTTAATATTATAAAGAGTATCTCAACCAACAGCTGCATCATTCTTCACAGGGAACACTGAATCCCCTGTAAATAATGTATTATTACAGTAAAGAATAATAAAATGACGCTGTTTCTAACAGCTGGTGAATTCCTACTTAAGAATTATTTCCTCTTCCTTCTGCTAATAGAACCTCAATATGATTCAGGCACTGTGTGTCTATGTGTTCCATTGGATGCTGGGCCCCTCTTTAGTCCCAGAGGATGCATCTTGACAAGTCGAAGCCAGTCCTGGTAATGTTCTGTTTGCCTAAGCGAAGGTTGCCTTAGAAAAGAATGTACAATAAAATTAGAAAAATAAAATGTGAGATGTCTGTTGTGGGGCTTCTGGGAAAACGGGCATAAATGATGCATGAAAGTCAATGTGTTATGGTTTTATTATGTTTTCACTGAGAATACAGAAGCTGCAGGTACAGCAGCCTTCTTGCAACCATGAGGAGTGAGCAACCTTCTGAGGATAGCAGAGAGAAAAGATGGAGAGAATCTGGATCATTTAATAATGTTGTGGAGATACATTTACCAGCCCCGAAATAACTCTATTTTAGGGTTATCTGAAGTGAAATAATTAATCTGATTTATTTAAGCCCTATTTATTTGGGGTTTCTGTTATGTAGAGCTGAAGCCATTGAAATACCTATGCTTTCCAAATTATTTAATGGTGTTTTGGAACTAGAACAAATTAAATAAAACTGGTAAAACAAAATTTAACTTTAGAAAAGAAAATGTTGTTATTTATAGATTTATGACTGTCTCTGTAGAAAACTCAAGAGAAACAGCACAAACTATTGGTCTCTAGTGGATGTTTTTGAGATTTACCCCTTTATGGGGGCTATGTTTTCATTAATCAAATGCTACGTTGTAGTAACATTTTCGTTTAGGCACTAGAGCATTCTCTGATACAGTTAATGCCGTTGGCCTTAGATTTAAACCTGACTCATTAATTTTGATTTTAATAGAACCATTTGAATTTAAAAGCCAGTGCTATGTCTGAAACGTAACAGTGCAATTGAATTACATCTTGATGAACTCTCACAAAGCGAATAACTGAAAACTGTGCAACCACAATGCAAGACAAGAAATAGAACATGGACAGCATCCCAGAAACTACCCTGGTATCCTCTCCATATCTTTACACCCTCTCTCTTTTATCAAAATGTAACCACAGTAATTTATTTATCTCTTCTACTTCTGATGAACATTTGGATTAGAGAGAGTTTTTCTTTAAAAAATTTTTATTTTGAAATAATTTTAGACATACTATAGGTGGTAGAGTTCCTATCTACCTTTCCCTAGTTTTCCTAGCTTTCCCTAATGATAGCAGCCTTCACAAGCACAGTAAAATTGTCAAAATGATACTAACATTGGTACTATGCTGTTAACTAGAGACTTCATCCACACTTTACCAGTTTTTATTTATTTATTATTTATTTATTTATTTATTTATTTATTTATTTATTTGAGGCGGAGTCTTGCCCTTTTGCCCAGGCTGGAGTGCAGTGGTGCAATCTCAGCTCACTGCAACCTCCACCTCCTGGGTTCAAGCAATTCTCCTGCCTCAGCTTCCCGAGTAGCTGGGACTACAGGCACCTGCCACCATGCCTGGCTAATTTTTTTTTTTTTTTTTTACTTTTAGTAGATATGGAGTTTCACCATGTTAGCCAGGATGGTCTCAAACTCCTGACCTTGTGATCTGCCTACCTCGGCCTCCCTAAGTGCTGGTATTACAGGCATGAGCCACCGCGCCCAGCCTAACTTTACCAGTTTTTAAATTAAGTTATCTTTCTGTTCTAAGATCCAATCCATAATTCCCCATTATGTTTAGTCATTGTGTCTCCTTAGTTCCTTCAATCTGGGGCAGTTTTTCAGTCTTTTATATGTTGCTGGATTTGGTTGGCCGATATTTTGTTGAGTTTTGCGTCTATATTCATAAAGAATTTTGGTCTGCAGTTTTTTTCCCCAGAATGTTTTGTTTGGTTTTGATATCAAGAAAATATTGGTATCAAAGAATGAATTGAAAGTGTTTTATCCACTTCAATTTTTTCTGGAAGCTTTGGAGAAAGATTAGGCATTCTTTTTAAAAGCTTGGTAGAATTCAGCAACAAAGCCATCAGGTCCTGGGCTTTCCTATGTGGGAACTTTGTTGATTACAAATTCTATCTCTTTACTTATTGTAGGTCTAATCAGATTTTCTGTTTCTTTTTTAATCATTTTTGGTAGTTTATATCTGTCTATGAACTTCTCTATTTCATAAAAAATACTTGAACGAAATTACAGACTTAATAGGCCTAACAGATGTCTATAGAACACCCCAAACAATAACAACAAATACACAGTTTACTCAAGGGCACATGGAACATTCTCCAGGATAGACTATCTATGGCTTTGTATATATCACATACAAAGCCATAAAACAAGTCTCAATAAATTTTAAAGTGTAGAAATCATACAGTATATGTTCTCCAAGTACAATGGAATGAAATTAGTAATCAATAATAGAAGGAAATGTGGCAAATTCACAAATAGGTGGAGATTAAACACATTACTAAATATCAATGTGTCAAAGAAGAAATCCCAAGAGACATTTAAAAATACTCTGAGATGAATGGATGTATAGTACAACATGCTAATGTGTATGGAATTCAGCTAAAGCAGTGCTTAGAAATATGTAGATTAAATGTGTATCTATTATTGAAAGTGAGATATTGAAGTCTGCAAATATTAATGTTGAATGGTCTGTTTCTTCCTTCAATCTCGTTAGTTTTGCTTTGAGTTTTTGGTGTTGTGTTGTTAGGTGCATACAAATTTATATTGCTATATCTTCTAGAAGGATTGAGCCTTTTATTATTGAAAGAATGTCCTTCTTTGCCTCTAGTGACAATTATTGTCTTAAAGTCTATTTTTGTCTGATATTAGTATATCAGCTCTCTTTTGTTTACTGTTGACAAGGTATATCATTTTTCCTCTTTCTACTTTCAACCTGTGTGTGCCTTTGAATCTAAAGTTTGTCTCACGTACACAGCATATAGTTAGATCATGGTTATAGTTAGATCATGGTTTTTCCTTAAAAATGCTTTTTGCACATCTCTGTCTTGTTCAATTCATTCACATTTAATGTAATGATTGATAAGATAGAATTCATCTCTACTATTCTTATAAATTGTCTTGTTTTGTTTTCTACTGGTACTATGTTATTTTTATTCCTCTATCTCTCAATTAGTGCCTTCTTTTGTGAAATCATATTTTTTTCCAAAAATGCCATCTTAACTCTCTTGTCATTTCTTTTTCTATGTTCTTCATGTTATTCTCTTAGTAGTTTCCCTAGGGGTTACAATTAACATCTCAACATATAACAATCTAGTTCAGATTACTACTAACTTAATTTCCATAGCATATACAAATTTTGCTATTATGTAGCTATATTCTCTTCTCACCTGCAAGATTTGTGCTATTATTGTCACACAATATCTTTATACATTGTATGCCCATCAATACATATTTATAGTTACTACTTTACAAAGTTGTATTTTAACTCACATAAAAGAAAAAAAGATTTACAAACAAAAATACATTTAACTGTTTTTATGTTTTCCTATGTATTTGTCTTTATCAGTGCTCTTGATTTCTTTGTGTAGATTTGAGTTAATGTATCATATTATTTCAGATAGAGGACTTTGTATTATAGGGCAGGTTGGTTAGTGACAAATCAGTTTTTGTTTATGTGGGAATATTTTAATTTCTTGTTAATTGTTGAGCAGTAGTTTTGCTGGATGTGGAATTGTTGGTTGACAGTCTTTTTTGTTTAGTGCTTTTCTTTTTTTTTGAGATGGAGTCTTGCTCTGTCAGCCAGGCTGGAGTGCAATGGTGCTATCTCGGCTCACTGCAAACTCCACCTCCCAGGTTCAAGCCATTCTTCTGCCTCAGCCTCCTGAGTAGCTGGGATTACAGGCTCACACTACCATGCCCGGCCAATTTTTGTATTTTTAGTAGAGACGGGGTTTCACTATGTTGGTCAGGCTGGTCTCAGACTCCTCACCACAAGTGATCCTCCCGCCTTGGCCTCCCAAAGTGCTGGGATTACAGGCGTGAGCCACTGCGCCTGGCCTGTTTAGTGCTTTGTATACATTGTCCCACCTCCTCTTGGCCTCCATAGTCTCTGAATGAGAAATCAACTGTTAATATTATTGAGGATCACTTGTGATGCATTGCTTTTCTTGCTCTTTCAAGACTTCATCTTTTAATAATTTTGTTATGATACAGTTAAGTGTAAATCTGTTAAAATGAATTCTACCTAGACTTTATTATGCTTCTTGGATGTAAATACTAATGCTTTTCACTGAAACTAGGGGTTTTGGCCATTATTTCTTCAAGTATTAATTTTATCCCTTTTTCACCTTTTCTTTGAGAACTTTCATTATGCATATCTTGGTATAGTTGATGGTGTACCACAGTTCTCTGAAGCTGTTTTATTTCCTCATCCTTCTTTTGTTTCTCAGACTGGTTAGTCTGAGTTGACCTGTCTTCAAGTTTGCTGAATCTTTTGCTCTATCTTCAACTTTACCAACTAAAACATGCTATTGTGCCTCTCTATCCCTATCCTCTAATGTGTTTTTGTTTGAGTTACTGTATTTTTTTTTTTTTTGCAAATAGAGTTCTTTTTTTTTTAATTTTATTATTATTATACTTTAAGTTTTAGGGTACATGTGCACAAAGTGCAGGTTTTTTACATATGTATACATGTGCCATGTTGTTGTGCTGCACCCATTAACTCGTCATTTAGCATTAGGTATATCTCCTAATGCTATCCCTCCCCCATCCCCCCACCCAACAACAGTCCCCGGTGTGTGATGTTCCCCTTCCTGTGTCCATGTGTACTCATTGTTCAATTCCCACCTATGAGTGAGAACATGCGGTGTTTGGTTTTTTGTCCTTGAGATAGTTTGCTGAGAATGATGGTTTCCAGTTTCATCCATGTCCCTACAAAGGACATGAACTCATCATTTTTTATGGCAGCATAGTATTCCATGGTGTATATGTGCCACATTTTCTTAATCCAATCTATCATTGTCAGACATTTAGGTTGGCTCCAAGTCTTTGCTATTGTGAATAGTGCCGCTATAAACATACGTGTGCATGTGTCTTTATAGCAGCATGATTTATAATCCTTTGGGTATATACCCAGTAATGGGATGGCTGGGTCAAATGGTATTTCTAGTTCTAGATCCCTGAGGAATCATCACACTGACTTCCACAATGGTTTGAACTACTTTACAGTCCCACCAACAGTGTAAAAGTGTTCCTATTTCTCCACATCCTCTCTAGCACCTGTTGTTTCCTGACTTTTTAATGATCGCCATTCTAACTGGTGTGAGATGGTATCTCATTGTGGTTTTGATTTGCATTTCTCTGATGGCCAGTCATGGTGAGCATTTTTTCATGTGTTTTTTGGCTGCATAAATGTCTTCTTTTGAGAAGTATCTGTTCATATCCTTTGCCCACTTTTTGATGGGGTTGTTTGTTTTTTTCTTGTAAATTTGTTTGAGTTCATTGTAGATTCTGGATATTAGCTCTTTGTGAGATGAGTAGGTTGCAAAAATTTTCTCCCCTTCTGTAGGTTGCCTGTTCACTCTGTTGGTAGTTTCTTTTGCTGTGCAGAAGCTCCTTAGTTTAATTAGATCCCATTTGTCAATTTTGACTTTTGTTGCCATTGCTTTTGGTGTTTCAGACATGAAGTCCTTTCCTGTGCCTATGTCCTGAATGGTATTGCCTAGGTTTTCTTCTAGGGTTTTTATGGTTTTAGGTCTGACATTTAAGTCGGTAATCCATCTTGAATTAATTTTTATATAAGGTGTAAGGAAGAGATCCAGTTTTCAGCTTTCACATATGGCTAGCCAGTTTTCCCAGCACCATTTATTAAATAGGGAATCCTTTCCCCATTTCTTGTTTTTGTCAGGTTTGTCAAAGATCAGATAGTTGTAGATATGCAGCATTATTTCTGAGGGCTCTGTTCCGTTCCATTGGTCTATATCTCTGTTTTGGTACCAGTACCGTACTGTTTTGGTTACTGTAGGCTTGTAGTACAGTTTGAAGTCAGGTAGCGTGATGCCTCCGACTTTGTTCTTTTGGTTTAGGATTGACTTGGCGATGTGGGCTCTTTTTTGGTTCCATATGAACTTTAAAGTAGTTTTTTCCAATTCTGTGAAGAAAGTCATTGGTAGCTTGATGGGGATGGCATTGAATCTATAAATTACCTTGGGCAGTATGGCCATTTTCACGATATTGATTCTTCCTATCCATGATCATGGAATGTTATTCCATTTGTTTGTGTCCTCTTTTATTTCACTGAGCAGTGGTTTGTAGTTCTCCTTGAAGAGGTCCTTCACATCCCTTGTAAGTTGGATTCCTAGGTATTTTATTCTCTTTGAAGCAATTGTGAATGGGAGTTCACTCATGATTTGGCTCTCTGTTTGTCTGTTATTGGTGTATAAGAATGCTTGTGATTTTTGTACATTGATTTTGTATCCTGAGACTTTGCTGAAGTTGCTTATCAGCTTGAGAAGATTTTGGGCTGAGACAATTGGGTTTTCTAGATATAAAATCATGTCATCTGCAAACAGGGACAATTTGACTTCCTCTTTTCCTAATTGAATACCCTTTATTTCCTTCTCCTGCCTAATTGCCCTGGCCAGAACTTCCAACACTATGTTGAATAGGAGTGGTCAGAGGGCATCCCTGTCTTGTGCCAGTTTTCAAAGGGAATGCTTCCAGTTTTTGCCCATTCAGTATGATATTGGCTGTGGGTTTGTCATAGATAGCTCTTATTATTTTGAGATACGTCCCATCAATACCTAATTTATTGAGAGTTTTTAGCATGAAGGGTTGTTGAATTTTGTCAAAGGCCTTTTCTGCATCTATTGAGATATTCATGTGGTTTTTGTCTTTGGTTCTGTTTACATGTTACATTACATTTATTGATTTGTGTATGTTGAACCAGCCTCGCATCCCAGGGATGAAGCCCACTTAATCATGGTGGATAAGCTTTTTGATGTGCTGCTGGATTTGGTTTGCCAGTATTTTATTGAGGATTTTTGCATCAATGTTCATCAAGGATATTGGTCTAAAATTCTTTTTTGGTTGTGTCTCTGCCAGGCTTTTGTATCAGGATGATGCTGGCCTCATAGAATGAGTTAGGGAGGATTCCCTCTTTTTCTGTTGATTGGAATAGTTTCAAAAGGAATGGTACCAGCTCCTCCTTGTACCTCTGGTAGAATTCGGCTGTGAATCCATCTGGTCCTGGACTTTTTTTTGTTGGTAAGCTATTGATTATTGCCTCAATTTCAGAGCCTGTTATTGGTTTATTCAGAGATTCAGGTTCTTCCTGGTGTTGTCTCGGGAGGATGTATGTGTCAAGGAATTTATCCATTTCTTCTAGATTTTCTAGTTTATTTGCATAGCGGTGTTTATAGTATTCTCTGATGGTAGTTTGTATTTCTGTGGGATTGGTGGTGATATCCCCTTTATCATTTTTTATTGCATCTATTTGATTCTTCTCTCTTTTCTTCTTTATTAGTCTTGCTAGCGGTCTATTGATTTTGTTGATCTTTTCAAAAAACCAGCTCCTGGATTCATTGATTTTTTGAAGGGTTTTTTGTGTCTGTATTTCCTTCAGTTCTGTTCTGATTTTAGTTATTTCTTGCCTTCTGCTAGCTTTTTAATGTGTTTGCTCTTGCTTTTCTCGTTCTTTTAATTATGATGTTAGGGTGTCAATTTTGGATCTTTCCTGCTTTCTCTTGTGGGCATTTAGTGCTATAAATTTCCCTCTACACACTGCTTTGAATGTGTCCCAGAGATTCTGGTATGTTGTGTCTTTGTTCTCATTGGTTTCAAAGAACATCTTTATTTCTGCCTTCATTTCATTATTTACGCAGTAGTCATTCAGGAGCAGGTTCTTCAGTTTCTGTGTAGTTGAGCGGTTTTGAGTGAGTTTCTTAGTCCTGAGTTCTAGTTTGATTGCACTGTGGTCTGAGAGACAGTTTGTTATAATTTCTCTTGTTTTACATTTGCTGAGGAGTGCTTTACTTTCAACTATGTGGTCAGTTTTGGAGTAGGTGTGGTGTGGTGCTGAAAAGAATGTATATTCTGTTGATTTGGGGTGGAGAGTTCTGTAGATTTCTATTAGGTCCACTTGGTGCAGAGCTGAGTACAATTCCTGGGTATCCTTGTTAACTTTCTGTCTCGTTGATCTGTCTAATGTTGACAGTGGGGTGTTAAAGTCTCCCATTATTATTGTTGGGAGTCTAAGTCTCTTTGTAGGTCACTAAGGACTTGCTTTATGAATGTGGGTGCTCCTGTATTGGGTGCATATATATTTAGGATAGTTAGCTCTTCTTGTTGAATTGATCCCTTTACCATTATGTAATGGCCTTCTTTGTCTCTTTGATCTTTGTTGGTTTAAAGTCTGTTTTATCAGAGACTAGGATTGCAACCCCTGCTTTTGTTTGTTTTCCATTTGCTTGGTAGATCTTCCTCCATCCCTTTATTTTGAGCCTATGTGTGTCTCTGCATGTGAGATGGGTTTCCTGAATACAGCACACTGATGGGTCTTGACTCTTTATCCAATTTGCCAGTCTGTGTCTTTTAATTGGAGCATTTAGCCCATTTACATTTAAAGTTAATAATGTTATGTGTGTATTTGGTCCTGTCATTATGACGTTAGCTGGTTATTTTGCTTGTTTGTTGATGCAGTTTCCTCCTAGCCTTGATGGTCTTTACATTTTGGCATTTTTGCAGTGGCTGGTACCGGTTGTTCCTTTCCATGTTTAGTGCTTCCTTCAGGAGCTCTTTTAGGGCAGGCCTGGTGGTGACAAAATCTCTCAGCATTTGCTTGTCTCTAAAGGATTTTATTTCTCCTTCACTTATGAAGCCTAGTTTGGCTGGATATGAAATTCTGGGTTGAAAATTCTTTTAAGAATGTTGAATATTGGTCCCCACTCTCTTCTGGCGTGTAGAGTTTCTGCCGAGAGATCTGCTTTAGTCTGATGGGCTTCCCTTTGTGGGTAACCCGACCTTTCTCTCTGACTGCCCTTAACATTTTTTCCTTCATTTCAACTTTGGTGAATCTGACAATTATGTGTCTTGGAGTTGCTCTTCTTGAGGAGTATCTTTGTGGCATTCTCTGTATTTCCTGAATCTGAATGTTGGCCTGTCTTGCTAGATTGGGGAAGTTCTCCTGGATAATATCCTGCAGAGTGTTTTCCAACTTGGTTCCATTCTCCCTGTCACTTTCAGGTACACCAATCAGACGTAGATTTGGTCTTTTCACATAGTCCCATATTTCTTGGAGGCTTTGTTCATTTCTTTTTATTCTTTTTTCTCTAAACTTCTCTTCTCGCTTCATTTCATTCATTTCATCTTCCATCAGTGATACCCTTTCTTCCAGTTGATCGCATCAGCTACTGAGGCTTCTGCATTTGTCACGTAGCTCTCACGCCTTGGTTTTCAGCTCCATCAGGTCCTTTAAGGACTTCTCTGCATTGGTTATTCTAGTTATCCATTCGTCTAATTTTTTTCAAAGCTTTTAACTTCTTTGCCATTGGTTCGAATTTCTTCCTGTAGCTCAGAGTAGTTTGATTGTCTGAAGTCTTCTTCTCTGAGCTCATCAAAGTCATTCTCCGTCCAGCTTTGTTCCATTGCTGGTGAGGAGCTGCGTTCCTTTGGAGGAGGAGAGGCGCTCTGATTTTTAGAGTTTCCAGTTTTTCTGCTCTGTTTTTTTCCCATCTTTGTGGTTTTATCTACTTTTGGTCTTTGATGATGGCGACGTACAGAAGAGTTATTGGTGTGGATGTCCTTTCTGTTTGTTAGTTTTCCTTCTAACAGACAGGACCCTCAGCTGCAGGTCTGTTGGAGTTTGCTAGAGGTCCACTCCAGACCCTGTTTGCCTGGGTATCAGCCACGGTGGCTGCAGAACAGCGGATATCGGTGAACCGCAGATGCTGCTGCCTGATCATTCCTCTAGAAGTTTTGTCTCAGAGGAGTACCCGGCCGTGTGAGGTGTCAGTCCGCCCCTACTGGCGGGTGCCTCCCAGTTAGGCTACTCGGGGGTCAGGGACCCACTTGAGGAGGCAGTCTGCCCATTCTCAGATCTCAAGCTGCATGCTGGGAGAACCACTACTCTCTTCAAAGCTGTCAGAGAGGGACATTTAAGTCTCCACAGGTTACTGCTGACTTTTTGTTTGTCTGTGCCCTGCCCCCAGAGGTGGAGCCTACAGAGGCAGGCAGGCCTCCTTGAGCTGTGGTGGGCTCCACCCAGTTTGAGCTTCCCGGCTGCTTTGTTTACCTAATCAAACAACTAACTCCGCAGTGGCAGGCAGCCCTCCCCCAGCCTTGCTACCACCTTGCAGTGTGATCTCGGATTGCTGTGCTGGCAATGAGCGAGACTCTGTGGGCGTAGGACCCTCCAAGCCAGGTGTGGGATATAGTCTCCTGGTGTGCCGTTTTTTAAGCCCGTTGGAAAAGTGCAGTATTAGGGTGGGAGTGATCCGATTTTCCAGGTCCCATCTGTCACCACTTTCTTTGACTAGGAAGGGGAATTCCCTGACCCCTTGCGCTTCCCGGGTGAGGTGATGCCTCGCCCTGCTTTAGCTCGTGCACGGTGCACTGCACCTACTGTCCTGCACCTACTGTCTGGCACTCCCCAGTGAGATGACCCCGGTACCTCAGCAGGAAATGCAGAAATCACCCATCTTCTTCGTCGCTCACACTGGGAGCTGTAGACCAGAGCTGTTCCTATTTGGCCATCTTGGCTCCTCCTCTTTTTTTTTTTTTTGAGACGGAGTCTCGCTCTGTCACCCAGCCTATAGTGCATTGTGCAGTGGAGAGATCTCGGCTCACTGCAACCTCCGCCTCCTGGGATCATACCATTCTCCTGCCTCAGCCTCCTGAGTAGCTGGGACTACAGGCGCCCGCCACCATGCCTGGCTAATTTTTTGTATTTTTAGTAGAGACAGGGTTTCACCATGTTAGCCAGGATGGTCTCGATCTCCTGACCTCATGATCTGCCCACCTCAGCCTCCCAAAGTGCTGGGATTACAGGCATGAACCACCTTGCCTGGCCAAGTTATTGTATTTTTAAATTTAGAGTTTGCATTTGTTTATTTTCCTTTCTCATACTTTACTTTTAGTTCCTTAGGCATTGTTTCTTTTACTTCTTTTAACATATTTAAAACAGGTAACCAAATGTTTAGTAAGCCCAACATCTAGCCTTCCTCAGTGATGCTCTTCCTACTTAGCTGTATCTTCTCTTCTTTCTCTTTCTTTTGCTATTATTATAGTATATATTAAGTTTATTTTGGTTACAAATACAATCATATACTACTATAATTATTACTTTATATGATTTTATGTCATTTAAATAGGCTGAGAAAAGAAGTGTATATTTATTGAGCTTGTTATAATTACCATGTACTTACTCTTTCTGCTTTCCTTAACATCATTTTGTTGTTATAATATCTAATGTCTTTTCTTTGCTCCAATACAAATTTGTGCCCACCTGGTCCTTTGTGTTGTTACTGTTATATATATTATATTTCTATATGTTATAGGTCCAAAAAGACAATTGTATAATTATTGTTTTATATAATTGCCATTTAAATCATTTAATAAAGGAAAGAAAAAATATGCAATTATACTGTCTTTAGTAATTACATAATTACCTTTATTGATACTCTTTATTTTGAATGTAGATTTTGTGTCACTTCCTTTCATCCTGAAGAACTTTCTGTGGAATTTCCTGCAAGGTGTTTCTGCAGACAACAAATTATTTCTGTTTTGGTTTATCTAGCAATGTCTTAATTTTACTTCCTCCATTTAAAAATTATAGTGTTGCTGAATATAAAATTCTTAGTTGGCAGTTTTTTTTTTTTTTTCTATTTATAACTTTGTGAATGTTATCCCACTGCTTCCTGGCCTCTTTGGCTTCTGTTGAAAAGTCTGTGTTAATTTCATTGCATTTCCTTTTCTCCTACTGCTTTCAAAAAATTTCTCTTCTTTGTCTTTCAGCGTTTTCACTATGATGGCTCTGCAGGTAGATCTCTGCATTTATCATGCTTGCAGCTGAATGAATTTTTGGATGTGTAGATTTATGTTTTCTATCAAATTTCTGAAGATTTTATTTCTTTTCAAATATTATTTCTCTTTTTTCTCTCTTGCCTTCTTCTCCTATTTGCATTACACATATGTTGGTGTGTTTAATGGTATATTACCTTTCTCTGAGGCTCTGTTCATTTTGTAATTTTTTTCTCTCTGTTCTTCAGATTGTTTAATCTCTATTGATTTATCTTCAAATTTACTGACTCTTTGCTAGCTCAGATTTTATGTAGAGTCCCCCTAGAGAGTTTTTCATTTTAGTTATTGTATTCTTCAACTCTACAATATCTATTTGGTTCCTTTTTATAATTTCTATGTCTTTATTGATACTATCTATGTTCTGAGAAGTTGTCATCAGGCCTTTCTTTGCTTCTTTAAGCATGTTTCTAGTTGTTCTTAAAATATATTCATCTTAGCTAGTTTGAAGTCTTAGTGGGCCTTCTTAAAGTCAGTTTCTGCTGCCTACTTTCTCCTCCATCTATAAGTTGTGGTCTCCTATGTGTTCTCATATATTGTGAGCTTTTTAGTTTTTAGTATGGACATGCAAAGAATTTATTGTTGCAACTCTGGATACTGATTTATTTTCTCCCAACCAGGGGTTTGTAGCTTTTGTTATTTTTGCTTGTTTATTTATTTAGTGACTTAATATTTCAGTGAAGTCTATCACTCTATAGTGTACATCCTCTGATGCTGCACCTCAGAGGTCACAGCTCTGAGTATGTGCACAGTCATCCTATCCACCCCCAACTTCCATGGATAAAAGTGGCTTTAGTTAGTTTTGCTTTAACTGTCTTTTCTTTATTATTTCTGCTGAGCTTCTAGCTGGTGGGCCTATCTTGGCACCACACTCAGCTGTTAGCCTCCAATAATTATGCCATTGTTTTCAACAATGCCCCAGGACATAAGTTGCTCTACCGTCTGACTAAATTAAAGAGGTTTTTTGGGATAGTCTTTGATGCCAGTCATTAAGACTTGTTTTTCTTAATATTATGATTATTATTATACTTTAAGTTCTGGGATACATGTGCAGAACATGCAGGTTTGTTACACAGGTATATATGTGCATGGTGGTTTGCTGCACCCATCAACCCATCATCTAGGTTTTAAGCCCTGCATGCATTAGGTATTTGTTCTCATACTCTCCCTCCCCTTGCGCCCCACCCACTGACAGGCCCTGGTGTGTCATGTTCCCCTCCCTGTGTACATGTGTTCCTGTTTTTCAACTCCCACTTATGAGTGAGAACATGCGGTGTTTGGTTTTCTGTTCCTTGGTTAATTTGCTGAGAATAATGGTTTCCAGCTTCATCTATGTCCCTGCAAAGGACATGAACTCATCCTTTTTTATAGCTGCCTAGTATTCCAGGGTGTATATGTACCACATTTTCTTCATCCAGTCTATCATTGATGGGCATTTGGGGTGGTTCCAAGTCTTTGCTATTGTGAATAGTGCTGCAATAAACATACACATGTATGTGTCTTTATAGTAGAATGATTTATAATTCTTTGGGTATATATCCAGTAATGGGATTGCTGGGTCAAATGGTATTTCTGGTTCTAGATCCTCGAGGAATCACCACACTCTCTTCCACAGTGGTTGAACTAATTTACACTCCCACCAACAGTGTAAAAGTGTTCCTATTTCTCCACATCCTCTCCAGCCTCTGTTGTTTTCTGACTTGTTAGAATGATCACCATTCTAACTGCTGGCATGAGACGGTTTCTCATTGTGGTTTTGATTTGCATTTATCTAATGACTAGTGATGATGAGCTTTTTTTCATCTTTTGTTGGCCACATAAATGTCTTCTTTTGAGAAGTGTCTGTTCATATCCTTTGCCCACTTTTTGATGGGGTTGTTTTTCTCTTATAAATTTGTTTAAGTTCTTTGTAAATTCTTTGTTTTTCTCTTATAAATTTGTTTAAGCCCTTTGTCAGATGGATAGATTGCAAAAATTTTCTCCCATTCCGTAGATTGCCTGTTCAGTCTGATGATAGTTTATTTTGCTGTGCAGAAGGACTTTAGTTTGCTTAGATCCCATTTGTCAATTTTGGCATTTGTTGCAATTGCTTTCGGTGTTTAAGTCATGAAGTCTTTGCCCATGCCTATGTCCTGAATAGTATTGCCTAAGTTTTCTTCTAAGGTTTTTATGGTTTTAGGTTTTACATTTAAGTCTTTAATCCATCTTGAGTTAATTTTTGTATAAGGTGTAAGGAAGGGGTCCAGTTTCAGTTTTCTGCATATGTCTAGCCAGTTTCACTAGCACCATTTTGGTTTCATATGAAATTTAAAGTATTTTTTTCTAGTTCTGTGAAGAAAGTCAATGGTAGAATGATGGGAATAACATTGAATCTAAAAATTATTTTGGGCAGTATGGCCATTTTCACAATATTGATTCTTCCTATCCATGAGCATGGAATGTTTTTCCATTTGTTAGTGTTCTCTCTGATTTCCTTGAGCAGTGGTTTGTAGTTCTCCTTGAAGAGGCTTTTCCACATCCCTTGTAAGTATTCCTAGGTATTTTATTTTCTTTGTAGCAATTGTGAATGGGAGTTCACTCATGATTTGGCTCTCTGTTTGTCTGTATTGGTGTATAGGAATGCTTGTGATTGCTGCACATTGATTTTGTATGCTGAAACTTTGCTGAAGTTGCTTATGAGCTTAAGGAGTTTTTGGGCTGAGATGATGGGATTTTCTTAGTATACAGTCATGTCACCTGCAAACAGATACAATTTGAGTTTGTCTCTTCATATTTGAATACCCTTTATTTCTTTCTCTTGCCTGATTGCCCTGGCCAGAACTTCCAATACTATGTTGAATAGGAGTGGTGAGAGAGGGCATTCCTGTCTTGGGCCAGTTTTCAAAGGGAATGCTTCCAGTTTTTGTCTATTCAGTATGATATTGCCTATGGGTTTGTCATAGATAGCTCTTATTATTTTGAGATGCATTCCATCAGTACCTAGTTTACTGAGTGTTTTTAGCATAAAAGGGTGTTGAGTTGTATCAAAGGCCTTTTCTGAATCTATTGAGGTAATTATGTGGTTTTGTTGCTGGTTCTGTTTATGTGATTAATTACGTTTATTGGTTTGTGTATGTTGTACCAGCCTTGCATCCCGGGGGTGAAGCTGACTTGATCATGGTGGATGAACTTTTTGATGTGCTGCTGGATTCAGTTTGCCAGCATTTTATTGAGGATTTTGGCATCAATGTTCATCAGGGATATTGGCCTGAAATTTTTTTTGTGTGTGAGTCTTTGCCAGGTTTTGTTATCAGGAGGATGCTGGCCTCATAAAATGAGTTAGGGTGGAGTCCCTCTTTTTCTATTGTTTGAAATAATTTCAGAAGGAATGGTACCAGCTCCTCTTTGTACCTCTGGTAGAATTCGGCTGTGAATCTGTCTGGTCCTGGGCTTTTTTTGGTTCATAGGCTATTAATTACTGCCTCAATTTCAGAGCTTGTTATTGGTCTATTCATGGATTCAACTTCTTCCTGGTTTAGTCTTGGGAGGGTGTATGTGTCCAGGAACTTATCCATTTCTTCTAGATTTTCTAGTTTATTTACATAGAGGTGTTTATAGTACTGTCTGATGGTAGTTTGTATTTCTGTGGGATCAGTGGTGATATCCCTTTTACCACTTTTTTGTGTCTATTTGTTTCTTCTCTCTTTTCTTCCTTATTAGTCTGGCTAGTGGCCTATGTATTTTGGTAATCTTTTCAAAAAACCAGCTCCTGGATTCATTGATTTTTTGAAGGGTTTTTCATATCTCTATCTCCTTCAGTTCTGCTCTGATCTTAGTTATTTCTTGTATTCTACTAGCTTTTGAATTTGTTTGCTCTTGCTTCTCTAATTCTTTTAATTGTGATGTTAGGTTGTCAGTTTTAGATCTTTCTCGCTTTCTGATGAGGGCATTTAGTGCTATAAATTTTCCTCTTAACACTGCTTTAGTTGGGTCCCAGAGATTCTGGTATGTTGTGTCTTTGTTCTCCTTGGTTTCAAATAACTTATTTATTTCTGCCTTAATTTTGTTATTTACCCAGTAGTCATTCAGGAACAGGTTGTTTAGTTTCCATGTAGTTGTGCAGTTTTGATGGAGTTTCTTAATCCTGAATTCTTATTTGATTGCATTGTGGTCTGAGATACTGTTTGTTATGATTTCCATTATTTTGCATTTGCTGAGGAGTGTTTTAATTCCAATTATGTGGTCGATTTTAGAATGATTGCTATGTGATGCTGAGAAGAGTGTATATTCTGTTGATTTGGGGTGGAGAGTTCTGTAGATGTCCATTAGGTCCATTTGGTCCAGAGCTGAGTTCACGTCCTGAATATCCTTCTAATTTTCTGTCTCATTGATCTAATACTGACAGTGGGGTGTTAAAGTCTCCCACTATTATTGTGTGGGAGTCAAAGTCTCTTTGTAGATCTCTAAGAACTTGCTTTATAAATCTGGGTGCTCCTGTATTGGGTTTATACATTTAGGATAGTTAGCTCTTCTTGTTGCATTGATCCCTTTACCATTTTGTAATGTCCTTCTTTGTCTTTTTTGTTCTTTGTTGGTTTAAAGTCTGGTTTATCAGAACTAGGATTGCAACCCCTGCTTTTTTTTCTTTCCATTTGCTTGGTAAATATTCCTCCGTCCATTTATTTTAAGCCTATGTGTGTCTTTGCATGTGAGATGGGTCTCCTGAATACAGCACACTGATGGGTCTTGACTTTTTATCCAACTTGCCAGTCTGTGTCTTTTAATTGGGGCATTTAGCCCATTTACATTTAAGGTTAATATCGTTAGGTATGAATTTGATCCTGTCATCATGATGTTAGCTGGTTATTTTGCACATTAGTTGATGCAGTTTTTTTTCACAGTGTCATTGGTCTTTATATTTTGTTACATTTCTGCAGTGGCTAGTACCAGTTTTTCCTTTCCATATTTAGTGCTCCCTTCAGGAGCTCTTGTAAGGCAGGCCTGATGGTGACAAAATCTCTCAGCATTTGCATGTCTGTAAAGGATTTTATTTCTCCTTTACTTATGAAACTTAGTTTGGCTGGATATGAAATTCTGGGTTGAAAAATCTTTTCTTTAAGAATGTTGAACATTGGCCCCCACTCTTTTCTGGCTTGTAGGGTTTCTGCAGAGAGATCCACTGTTAGTCTGATGTGCTTCCCTTTGTAGGTAACCTGACCCTTCTCTCTAGCTGCCCTTATCATTTTTTCCTTTGTTTCAGCCTTAGAGAATCTAACGATTATGTGTCTTGGGGTTGCTCTTCTTGAGGGGTGTCTTAGTGGTGCTCTCTGTATTTCCTGAATTTGCATGTTGGCCTGTCTTGCTAGGTTGGGGAAGTTCTCCTGGATAATATCCTCAGGAGTGTTTTCCAACTTGGTTCCATTCTCCCCATCACATTCAGGTACATCAACCAGTTGAAGGTTAAGTCTTTTCACATAGTCCCATATTTTTTGGAGGCTTTGTTCATTCCTTTTAATTCTTTTTTCTCTAATCTTGTCTTCATGCTTTATTTCATTAAGTCGATCTTCAATCTCTGATATGCTTTCTTTCACTTGATTGATTCAGCTACTGATACTTGTGTATGCTTCACAAAGTTCTTGTGCTGTGTTTTTCAGCTCCATCAGGTCATTTATCTTCTCTCAACCGATTATTCTAGTTAGCAGTTCCTGTAACCTTTTATCAAGGTTCTTAGCTTCCTTGCATTGGGTTAGGACATGCTCCTTTAGCTCCAAGGAGTTTGTTATTATCCACCTTCTAAAGCCTACTTCTGTCAATTCATCAAACTCATTCCCTGTCCAGTTTTGTGCCCTTGTTGGAGAGGATTTGTGATCCTTTGGAGAAGAGGGATTCTGGTTCTTGGAATTTTCAACATTTTTGCACTGTTTTTTTTATTCATCTTTGTGGATTTAACTAACTTTGATCTTTGATGCTGTGATGGCATTTGGATGGGGTTTTTCTGTGGTCATCCTTTTTGTTGATGTTGATGTTATTGCTTTCTGTTTGTTAGTTTTCCTTCTAACAGTTAGGCCCCTCTTCTGCAGGTCTGCTGGAATTTGCTGGAGGTCCACTCCAGACCCTGTTTTCTTGGGTACACCATTGGAGGCTGCAGAACAGCAAAGATTGCTGTCTGCTCCTTCCTCTGGAAGCTTCATTTCAGAGGGGTATCCACCCGATGCCAGCTGGAGCTCTCCTATATGAGGTTTCTGTCATTCCCTGCTGGGAGTTGTCTCTCAGTCAGGAGGCACATGGGTCAGGGACCCAATTGAAGAGGCAGTCTGTCCCTTAGCAGAGCTCAAGCACTATACCGGGAGATCTGCTGCTCTCTTCAGAGCCAGCAGGTAGGAATGCTTAAGTCCACCAAAGCTGCGCCCACAGCCACCTCTTCCACCAGGTGCTATGTCCCAGGGAGATGGGAGTTTTATCTATAATGGGGCTGCTGCCGTTCTTTCAGAGATGTTCTGCCCAGTGAGGAGGAATCTAGAGAGGCAGTCTGGCCACAGCCACTTTGCTGTGCTATGGTGAGCTCTGCACAGTCCGAACTTCCCAGCATCTTCATTAACACTGGAAGGGGAAAACTGCCTACTCAAGCCTCAGTAATGGTGGACGCCCCTCCCCCTACCAAGCTCGTTCATCCCAGGCCGAATTCAGACTCCTGGGCTGGCAGTGAGAATTTCAAGCCAGTGGTTCTTAGCTTGCTGGGCTCTCTGGGAGTGGGATTCTCTAAGCGAGACCACCTGGCTCCCTGGCTTCAGTCCCCTTTCCAGGGGCTGTGTCACTGAGGTTCCAGGCACCACTGGGGTACAAATAAAAACTCCTGCAGCTAGCTTGGTGTCTGCCCAAACAGCCACCTAGTTTTATGCTTGAAACCCAGGACCCTGGTGGTATAGGCACATGAGGGCATCTCCTGGTCTCAGTTGGAAATGCAGAAATCACCCACCTTCTGCGTTGGTCTCACTGGGAGCTGCAGACAGGAGCTGTTCCTATTCGGCCATCTTGCCAGCAGAGAGCGAGACTTGTTCTTATCCCAGGAGGGCTATTTGGAGCTTTCCTTCCTTTTATGAATTAAAATTCTAGCTTATTTACAATTTTGCTTATTGTTATCGTGGAGTACCAGCCTCCTCTGAATTGCTGATCAGCCAAATATTCATTGATTTTGAGAACCTTCAGAAGCTTGAACCTTCTGCACTGTATTCTAAATAAAGTCAGCCTCATTGGGAGAGCTATAGAACTGTCTGCTCTTTTGGGCTGCTTTTCTCACTGTGCCACTGCTCTAGACCTGGGCATGAGGACAGTGATCTCTTCCTCAGAGTGATACCACTGTTGTACAAATTGTATGTTGGGCAAGTATGATAGCCATTGTTTTTCTCAGCTTGACTGTCCTGGCATGAAACTCCCACCCTCTAAATACTGTAAGGCAAGGGTAATTGGGGTCCAGAATTCTCAGTCTTTTGCTCCTGAGATAGCTCTACAAGTGGGAACTGGCTGAAAAAAAGGAACCTCAGACATCTTAGCTCCACTTGTCTGGAATACAGCTCCTGTAACACAAAGTTGGGGAATAAATAAGGAATTCTTGTGACTTGCCTCACCCAGGGAAAACTGTAGTCCTAAACTGTATCTTTTGGGAGAAGGAGCTCCATCTTCTTGACTGCATCTTCCTAGAGAAGGCTTCCATCACATTGAGTTGGTGGTGGGAAGGGGAAGGTCATGGATTGAATTTGATAGACTCTCTCTTTTCTTACCAAAAGTTAGATTTGATAGATTCTCTTGAATAAATCTGCTTAACTTGCTGTATCCACTAGGACAAATTCTAGAAATTTGAAATAGTTGCTTCTTATAATTTTCAACAATTATGATTTATAATTATGAAGAAGCTTTATAGAGCTCTTCATGCTGGCATTCCAAAATTACTTTCTATTCTTTTATCTAGACAACATTAAATAGACTTTATACTATTCCTTCCTTAAGTATCTGGTAGGACACTCAAGTGAAACCATCTAATCTTAGAGTTTTTTTCTTGAAAGGCTTTAAAGTAAAAACATAAATTTCTTTAACAGATATGGAACTATTCAAATTATTCCTTTTTGAATAAGTTTTATAATGTATCTTTCAAGTATTTGTTGATTTTATTTAAGTTGTTAAATTTATGTGCATTGAGTAGTTTAAAATATTCCCTTTATAGCCTTTTAATGTCTGTAGGTTCTCTAGTGATGTCTCATTTTTCATTCTTAATAATTTGTGATTTTCCTTTTTATTTTTGGTCATTCTGGCTACAGCTTTATACATTTTATTAATTTTTTCCAAAGAAACACCTTTTAGTTTTATTTATTTTCTCTATTGTTCTTTTGTTTTAAATTCATTGACATCTGCATGTATTTTTTTTAATTTGTATTTTCTTTCTTTTGCTTATTTTGAAGTTTGCCTTTCTTTAGATTCTTACCATGGAAACGTAGGTTACTAATCTGCCAAATATTTTTTCTTTTCAATATAAACATTGAATAATGTAATTCCACACATGTGTACTGCAATAACAGCATCATAAAACTTTTGATAGGTTGTATTTCTAGGGTGTTTTTTGTGAGTTCAAAATATTTTAAAATTTTACTTGAGAGTTCCTCTTTGACTCATAGGTTATTTTGAAGGTGTTTTTTTTATCAAAACATTTGGGAGTTTCTTATTATTTTTATTTTATTGATTTCTAGTTTAGTTCCATTACGGTCTGAGAATATATGATTTCTACTATTTTATATTGTTAAGGCTTAAAAATTGTATTGTTTATCTTTTGAATGTTCTATGTCTATTCTATTTTTTGTTAGATTTCTAAAAACTTTCTATAAATTCTAGTTAGGTCAAGATGTTTGATAATGTTTTTAGGTCTTTTATAGTCTTACTGATTTCTGTCTATTTGTATTATGCATTACTGAGAAAGGAATGTAAGTCTCCAACCATAATTGTGGATTTATTTATTTCTCCTTTCATTCTGTATGTTGTTTCTTTATCTATTTTGAAACTCTGTTGTTAGATGGATAACATTAACATTCTTGTATCTCCTTGGAGAACTGACTCTTTAGCATTATATAATATCTCTCTTTATCTCTGATAATACTTCTTAATCTGAAGTCTATTTTGTCTGTTACTAATATGACTACTTAGTCTTTTTTTTAGTTAATGTTTGTAGGTATATCTTTTTTTATCCTTTTAATTTTAACATATGTATAGTTCTATATTTAATGTGAATTTCTTATAGACAACATATACATGGATCTTGATCTTTTATCCAGTCTGACAATTTGTTTCTTCTGGTGATGTCAACTGATATGCATGGATTAAAATATACTAACTCTCTAACTATTTTCTATTTGTTCCTTCTATTTTGTTTTTTCTTCCCCTTCTGTCTTTTTGGTCATTTTTAATGATTTATTTTATTTCCTTTATTGACATATTATTTATACCTCTTAAGAACTGTTTAGCGGTGGTCCTTAGAGTTTACAACATGCATATTTAATCAATCAATGTCTACATTTAAATAAGATTATCTCTTCATGTGTAGTGTAAGAGTTTTATAACAGTATGTTCCCAATTTGCCCTTTTCATTGATTGTGCTATTGTTGCCATACACTGGGCTTTTGTATGTGCTATGGACATACTACATATTCCTACTATCTATGGTGTGAACAGTCAATTGTCTTTTAGAGTAATTAAAAATAAGAAAACATTTTCATGCGATCTTCTCTAGCACTCTTCTTCTCTTTGTGTAGATGCAAGTTTCTTTCTGTTGTATTTCTCTACCCAAAGAACTTCATCCAATATTTCTTGAGCAAGTCTTCTGTCAAGTTATCAGTTTATTTTTATTAACCTGAAAAATGTTCTTATTTTCTTAAGAATTTAAAAATATTTTTTAGAAACACGGAATTATTGACTGACAGCATTCTTTTTCTTTCAGACGTTTAAATATTTTACTTCCTTGTTTTCTAGTTTGTATGGTTTCTGACTAAAAGCTGCTTTAATTCTTATCCTCATTCTTGTCAAGATAATGTCTTTTTCTCTGACTTATTTCAAGATTTTCTTTGCCTTAAAAAAAAAATCAGTTTGAATATTATAGCCATAGGTGTGGTGTGGTGTACATGCATGCTTGTATGTTTGGTATTTTTCCTGCTAGGGGTTTCCTGAGTTTCTTATGTCTGAGGTTTGATCTCTGTCTAATTAAAAAAAAATTCTTCATCATTATTATTTTTTCTCTGCTCTGTTTTTTTCTTCTGAGATTCCAATTACATATATTTTTTGTAATATAAAATTACATATGCTCTTGAATGAGCTTTTCTGTTGAAGTTTCTTTTTTAGTTTCAGTTTTTGTAATTTTTATGAGTGTATCTTGAAGTTTGCTATATCTTTCTTATGTTATGAGCTGAATTGTCTGCCCCTGATCCCTGGCCCCAAGAAACCTCAGAAGAAACCAACTCTACCAACACCTTAATATTAGACTTCTGACTACAGAATTGTGAGAAAATAAATTTCTGTTTTTTAAGCTACTCAGTCTGTGCTACTTTTTTGTGGCAGCCTTACCAAATGAATATACCTTGACTATGTCAACTCTGCTATGAACCTGTTAAGGGTGTTCTTTACTCCATTACTCTATTTTTCATTTCTAGCACTTCTAATTAATACTTTCTTACAGTTTGTTCCTCTCTGCTGAAATTACCCAATTGATATTGCATGTTATTTACCTTTTCAATTAGACCTTTTAATATCTGAATCATATTTAATTGACACTCCTTGGCAGATAGTTCCAATCTCTATGTCATATCTGAGTCTGCTTTTAAGGATTGCTTTGTTTCTTAGGAATGTGCTGGACTTTTTTCTTTATTTTTCTTATGCTTTGTACTTTTTACTGAAGACTTGAAATTTTGTGTACTGTAGTAAAGGCTGAGGTACACAGCATTTTTTCTTGGAAATGAGCATAGTTTTCTTTTGCGAGGATTTTATTGTGGAGAGGTTAGGGTTAATCTAATTAGAAGTTGAGCTGTGTTTTAGGTTTGTTTTTACAATGGTTATCCTCAGTGCACCACATATTCTTCTAGTGATGCTTTGTGTTAGAGTGGGGACTATTTTGCCTGAAGGTTTTTACCCTCTTTATTTTCAGTATCTACTCAAATATCAGCTTTTAGTCTTTCCTTAATGCCACGTATAGAGAGGGTCTATTTCTTGAAAGTTACTTCTTTCTACATGCTGGTTAGCCTGTCATGGAAGATTGGGGCATTCTCTGTTTTGACTAAGCTTCACTCTTAGGTCATCATCAAGTACCTACATCTTGTGTTTCTGGGTTTCACCACTGACCATGTAGTCCTGAGCTCAGCCTGTATTCCTGCCCCTTCCTGAGGGATAGAGATTATTTTCCCATTCTCTTCTCCTATTTGCAATAGGCAATGGTACTTGTTGCCCTTCCCCCTTCCCTCTGCAGATTAAGGCTTTTGTTCTATAGGGAAAATAGGGGAGAAGTGTCTTAACAAAATTTCTCTTACTACTCCAAATCTTTTCAGCCTATGTTTTCTATCTTCTTGTTGGAAGTTACCACATTTCATTTAAAATATATCCTAGAAGGTTTTATTTTTAACTTTGGGAGATCAAATTAAATAGTTAAAATTTAATGAACTATAACATTTAATAGTTTAAATTTCTTTGTTCTTATTAGTAACATAAAAATACAATGGAAATATGATCAAAGTGTTCATTTCAGGTAGGCACTAGGGCTGCTCAATGATAATGTAGCTTTCCTCATTCCAGTTACTTGCTAAGATTGCATTTCCCTATCTCCTTGATGTTGGGCGTGTTATTTTAAGTTGTTTTTGGAAAGTGAAATTTGAGTACAAGTGCTAGGAGACAGTTTGAGATTCTGTACACTTCCTACTTTCTGCCATCAGAGGATCTAGCTATACTCCTGTTACAGACAGGGCTCCCAGCTTGGGACCTGGAGTAAAGAGATGTGGAATAGATTCCACAGTAAATTCAAAATGGACAGGTAGCCAGAGCATACTTTTGTTGTTATAAGACACTAATATTTTAGGAATGTTTGTTACTTCACCATTATATAGCTACTTTGACTAATACTATTGCATTTCTCAGGGAAATGAATTTCAGCAGTGGTATCTATATCTCAGTGGACATCTGAAATACCCCTGAATGTGGAAGGCCCAGGCCAGTAACATAATGTGTTATCGATAACCCATGATAATTTTATTGTAAAAAAAAGACACACTAAAATTCACATGAAGACATTAAGTTGTACTCGGGGATGTAGAAAGCTGGAAACAGAGCTGGCGTCTACTTTGTACAACATCTTTGTCATGGGTTATTCCAATTTCTTATGTAGGGTCCCTTAGTCTGTCTGTATTTTTATTTTCACCAATATTTCTAAGTTCTTGTTCTTCCTCCTCTGTTTCACAGATAACATTCAGCCCCTTTTTATATCCTTTGGGAATAATCTTTTCAGATGACTGTATTTGCTCTTATAAATTATATTTTTCCTTTGTGTTAAATTGCCACATTACTCCAAAAAGATTATAAGAATGTATATCAGCTATTGAAATATTTAAAGAAAGACATATGTGTGTGTATCTCTTTATATAATCATATATATCTCCACATTCTTGTCTGCTTAATGTCAACTCTACTAGAATTGCCATGAAAAATCATGTAAACTTATGTGTTCACTATCATTTTATGTACCTTTAGTTTTATATATGGCTACTGTAATTTTTCTTTGAAAACATACATCTTATGGTGAGACACATGACTATATTAAGGGATAAATTCTTTGATGTTATTTTACAATAATCATTGATAGCTGGGTCAGGAGTAGGAAAAATTTCCCTTTAACTTAATAGAAGATCTAGCATTTCCATTTCTTTAAAGCAGCAACAAAGGAGTTTGTACACCCTATTCTGATAAGCTTATGGCAATACAGACAAGAAACATGGGGAAGCAGAGACCCAGACTTGCAATGTGGGTTGACAATGAATACAGGCCCCTCTCCACTACTGATTAATTTTCAGATGATCTTATCACCAGCCAGAGCAGGAAGAAAGGCTAAGGGTGCCTTATAGGGAAGAAAAATCAGGCTTTAAGTTCTGGGCACCCGGATGTTTGACTCTTTCAGGTACTTTGCTCATTCGGGTGATACCATTTTGTGAGGAATTTTGTTTAGTTTTTCTATCAGTATTTCCCCTCACACTTCAGTAAAATGTAAAATAAACTTAACTGACTGCCAAAAGCAAGCTTATAAGTAAACAGAGCTAGAGAGAGCAGAGGCAGAGTGCTGAGCGGGAAGCCATGGAGAGGAATGAGAGTCTAGCCTCACAAAAGCTTTAATAGGAGCCTCTTTGAAATGACTAACAATAACAGACTAAAACATTCAGGAGGAAAAAATAAAGTTTAAAAGATTATAAAGCAAAGAGGCTAGCAGCAAATATATGACACAAAATGTTCTGAAGCTGCTTTGCCACGCACGCTCTCTCTCTCAAAGCTATTTTGGCTTGGTTTCAGGTTCCAGGACATGGCTCAAAGGGACCCTCTGTCTTTTGGAAATTTTGTGCCAAGAACCCTGGGTCCAGAATGCCTCTGGGAGCTGGCTTGGTTCTGGGGAGTTGGCATAGACTCTGGAGAGTAGAATGTGGCAAATAAATTGTTGTATATTCTGACTATATAAATATTATACACCAAAAAAGTTGAAGAAAAATATTGAAAAGAAGGTGGATACATTTATAAGTTGCATTATCTATGATCACTTAGGGTCAAAGCTTGTCAATAAATGTTCATAACTCACACAATGGAAGTACATTCTTATTTAACAGTATGAAGTAAAAGAAAGAAAATGTTGACAGAATAACATTGAAGAAAGAAGGGTACAGGAAGAAAATACAGGAAAGTTTTTACTATTCACATTAAGGAACCAATAGATACCATATAAAGAAATGAATGTCTAAAGATACAGCAGATGAAATAGAGACCAGCAAACCACAGCTTATGCCAAATCTCATTCAATGCCTGTTTTCATATGACCTACAAAATATGGTTTTCGCATTTTTTAATTGTTGAAAAAAATCAGAGGATAATAGTTCAACACGTGAAAATTGTATAAAATTTAGGATGCAGAATCTACAATAAAGTTTTTCTGGAATGCAGTCATACTCGCTCATCTGCAAATGATCTACAGCTACTTTCATGTTATAATGGCACAGTTGTGACAGAGACCCTATGGCCTGTATTTTCTAATTCTAGTAATTAGAAAAATGATGGATTTGGTATATAAAAACAAAAGATGTTTCTTTGAAAAAAATAGTAAAATATTATCTAACTTAATCAAGAAAAAGAAAAAAACTGCAATTAAAAACAAACAAGCAATGAAACACACAACCAGATAGTAAAAAGGAAATGACCACATAGGAATAGAAGAAATTAAAGATTCATAAGAATTCTAAATTGAAAAGCTTGGATGAAAAAAATATGATTTACACAAAATGACAACACAAATGACAGAAAATCTAAACAGAACTACTTCAATAAAGGCAATAGACAAAATTATGCAAAGGTTATTCCCAGCAAAGTGGCAGATTTGGACAGTTTCATAAAGGAATTCAAATATTTTAAAAGCAAATAATACCAATGCTATTTAAATTGTTCTGGAAAAGACTAGACAAAAGAAAATCTCAATTCATTTTGGAAAGGGGGTATAAAATTGGTAATGAAACCTGATAAAGATGTGCACACAAAAAAAACTATATAGATTAATCTGTTATCAATAATAACAAAAACATTCTAAAATTTTTAGCAAATGAAATTCAAAAGTATGTAAAAAGAATCATTATTTTGAAAGAAGATTTTAGAAGTACAACCATCAGGAAAATGCAAATCAATATCATGTTACATCTATTAGGATGCCTATTATCAAAGAAACCAAAAGATAACAAGTGTTAGCGACTATGTGGAGAAAAAGGAGTCTTTGCACAGTGTTGGTGGGAATGTAAATTGGTACAGCCATTAAGAAAAACAGGATGCAGCATTCTCAAATGAAAAGTATAACTACCATATGATCCAGCAATTCCACTTCTGGGTATTTACTCAAAGAAAATAAAATTAGAATCTTTAAGAAATATCTGCATTCACATGCTCGTTGATCGCATCATTATGCACAACAGTCAAGATGTGGAAACAACCTAAATGTACACGAACAGATAAATGGATAAAGAAAATGTGGTATACACAGACAATGTGGTATTATTCAGCCTTTAAGAAGAAGGAAATCCTGCCATCTGCAACAACATGAATGAACCTGGAGGGCATTATGCTAGGTGAAATAAGCCAGACACAGAAGGACAAATACTACATGATCCTATTTATATGAGAAATCTACAATAGTCAAACTCATAGAAGCAGACAGTAAAATGATGGTTGCCAGGGTCTGAGGGGAAGGGGAAACAAGGAGATACTTTTCAAAAGGTACAAAGTTCTAGCTATGCAAGATGAATAATTTCTACTGATCTACTGTGCAGCATCATGTCCATAATTAACAGTATGGTATTGTATACTGAAAATTTTGCCAAAAGGGTAGATCTTATGTTAAGTGTTCTTATCACAAATATAGGTAAACAAAGATGGTGGGAGAAGCCTTTTTGGAAGAGAGAGATATGATAATTGATGTAGTGATGGTTTCACTGGTGTATTCTTAACTCCAAAGTCATCAAGTTGTACATGTGAAATATGTACAGCTTTTTGTATGTATTCATACCTCAATACAGTGTTTCTTTAAGTACAAGGATGGTTTGTTATTCAGAAATGTGTTAATACATAGCTTATAATGTTGAAGAAACATTGTGATCATTTTCATATATGTCAAAGAGACATTTGACAAAGCATAACAGCCATTCTTCACAAAAATATTCAGTCAGTAAGGATGTATACACACTTTTTAAGCATAGGAAACATATTTACCTCAATCCAAAAAGTCAATATCATGCTCAGTTGAGACATACTACTGAAATCAAAATCAAGATGTTGACTACCACCTCTACTATCCCACAAAGTACTGGAATTACTAGTCAATATGATTAGACAATGAAGGAAAATTAGAAGCGTAAACACTGTAAACAGTAACTGTGTTGAGATGACATGAATAGTATATTTGAAAACCCAAGATAATCAACTTAAACACTACAAAGAGTGAGAGAATTCAGGAAAGTTATAGTGTAAAAATGTTACTAAATATAAAGTAATAGATTATTATGTACAAATAGCAAGGAGTTAGAATATATAATGGGAAAATATTTAAAACAGCAAAACAATACCTCTAGAAATACACGTAATAAAAGTGTAGAAACCAACATGAAGAAAAATTAAAACACTTCCCAAATGTGAAAACAAAGATGGGCTTTTTAGTAAATGATGTTGGTATTACACATCTGGAAAAAAAAAATGGTGGAATCTACACCTCACACTAAACATCAGGAATAATTCCAAATAAACACATTTCTTTATTAAAATTAAGAAAAGTTTTTAAAATAGTAGGAAAAATAGGAAAATCCATACATAAATCTGAAGTGGGGGATTCCCTTTTAACCAACAACTCAAAACCTAAATGATAAAAGATGACATAAGAAAACAGAAAAGAAACTTCTTCAAGCAAAAATGAAAAAGAAAAACCAACACAACAATAACATAATGAATAAAGAGACGAATATACATGGGGCAGGGAATAATTGCAATTTCTACCACAGACACAGGAATACTTTTTCCTAATATATAAATAGCTTCCCCAAATTAACAGTAAAAGATAATTGTATAGAAAAAAAAAAAAAGAAATAGATTGAATGGACAGCTCAAACATATAAAAAAAGATGAGGTTCACTTTTAATACAGTAAAACCACGTAGATATACCATTCTTCATCTATCAGGTTAATTCAGATACCACAGTTTAGAAGGCCCCTTTGGTGATGCTGAGGGACATAGGCATTGTCCTACAGTGCTGATAGAAGCATGCATTGCCAGGGAGCTTTCCCACCACTGTCCTGGGAGATATTGATCACCTCAGCCCTCTGGCAGCTAGATGGATCCCGATCAATTTACAGCTCCTACGCTTCTTGCCTTTGGCCATAAGTCATCTTTTATACAGCTCTAAATCTTTTCAAGTTTATCCCATGGGTTATTTGATGGTTGCATTTCCTATGAGTTTTATGATGTGAAAAAGCTTGGGAAAACCTGTAATAGTCAATTTGATATTACCTATCAAAATTATGAATTTGTATAACTTTTGACCCATTTCCAATTTGGGAATTAATCCTGCAGCTATACCTGCACATGTGTTAAATGAAATATATTCAAGGTTATCCCGCATGTCAGAATTTGTAACAGCGAAATACTGGAAGCAACTCAAATGTCCATTAAGAGTTTAATAAAGATTAGAAAAATTAGGATCATTCAAACAATGGAACACTATGAAGTGACACTTTAAAAAAATCCTGTGCTAGTCTGGATAGATTCCAAGTAAACTATTAATTTTTCAAAAAGGAGAGAGAACAGTATATATAATATGATAACTTTGGTCAAAAAATGGGGAGAAATAATACATATTCACATTTGCTTGCATAGTATTAGTAAGTGAAGGATACATAATTAGAAGGACTTTCCTGGGGTCAGGCAATGTGGGCTGTGAACTGGTAAATGGGGATAAGAGGTAGGATCAAGACATTTTGCTGAATATATCTCTATTTTTCAATTGTTTTAGTTTTTGAACAATATAAATGTGTCACCATACCAAAACTATTAAAACAAACAAAATGCAGCAGCATTTATTTTCAAAACAAGGAATTAGGACAAGTGGTAGAATTGGTGATAAAACCTTTTATGTCAAATGTCAGATACAAAAAAATACATACTGAATCCCTACAAGATACCCTGGTCAGGAGGTGGTAAGTGTGGTAAGTGCTCCTAAACAATTGTCTTTTCCCGCTTCCACTGGAGATGTCACACCCCACTCTGATTGTTGGTCACATCCTACTCTGATGCTTTAAGGAGACGAGAGAGCAGCTTCTTATCTGGCTGATTCACTTTCCCCCCAGTCACATTCGAAGTAGCCACAGATGGGTGGTACTCTTGACTTTTAATGAAAGCTAGCACCAATTCCTTTAGAGCAAGAAGTCGAGCCAAATCATGATACTAAGGCAATAGGGTGTGAAGATCCCAGACTCTGGGGGAGTCTGCTGGGGTTGAGTCCAGCTTCTACCTTTAGAGACTTTTTTACCTTGCTGTTTAATCTCCTCATCAGGAAAAAAGAAATTATAATATTACCTACCTCAGAGTGCTCATTAGAGTTAATCCATAGAGAGTGTTCAGAAGGGTGTGTGCCAGTTAGAAGGGGCTCTGTGTTAGTTATTATCCTTTTCGTAATGCAATTCTTGCAACTATCAATAATGTCTTACACTATTAGACCACAGACACTTGGTGCGTGATTTTTTTTTTTTTTTTTTTTTTTTTTTTACAATATTTAACCATAAGTTTATTTCAGCTAGGTTTGAAAGTTTACTTTTACTAGGGGAAAATATTCCTTCCCTCCTGTTTTGCTTGGTGATTGATGTGCATCTTCTCTCTCTCTCTCTTTTTTTATTATTATTATACTTTAAGTTTTAGAGTACATGTGCACAATGTACAGGTCTGTTACATATGTATACATGTGCCATGTTGGTGTGCTGCACCCATTAACTCGTCATTTAGCATTAGGTATATCTCCTAATGCTTTCCCTCCCCCCTCCCTCCACCCGACAACAGTCCCCAGAGTGTGATGTTCCCCTTCCTGTGTCCATGTGTTGTCATTGTTCAATTCCCACCTATGAGTGAGAACATGCGGTGTTTGGTTTTTTGTCCTTGCGACAGTTTGCTGAGAATGATGGTTTCCAGCTTCATCCATGTCCCTACAAAGGACATGAACTCTTCATTTTTTATGGCTGCGTAGTATTCCATGATGTATATGTGCCACATTTTCTTAATCCAGTCTATCGTTGTTGGACATTTGGGTTGGTTCCAAGTCTTTGCTATTGTGAATAGTGCCGCAATAAACATACATGTGCATGTGTCTTTATAGCAGCATGATTTATAATCCTTTGGGTATATACCCAGTAATGGGATGGCTGGGTCAAATGGTATTTCTAGTTCTAGATCCCTGAGGAATCGCCACACTGACTTCCACAATGGTTAAACTAGTTTACAGTCCGACCAACAGTATAAAAGTGTTCCTGTTTCTCCACATCCTCTCCAGCACCTGTTTCCTGACTTTTTAATGATTGCCGTTCTAACTGGTGTGAGATGGTATCTCATTGCAGTTTTGATTTGCATTTCTCTGATGGCCAGTGATGATGAGCATTTTTTCATGGGTTTTTTGGCTGCATAAATGTCTTTTTTGAGAAGTGTCTGTTCATATCCTTCACCCACTTTTTGATGGGGTTGTTTTTTTCTTGTAAATTTGTTTGAGTTCATTGTAGAATCTGGATATTAGCCCTTTGTGAGATGAGTAGGTTGCAAAAATTTTCTCCCATTTTGTAGGTTGCCTGTTCACTGTGACAGTAGTTTCTTTTGCTGTGCAGAAGCTCTTTAGTTTAATTAGATCCCATTTGTCAATTTTGGCTTTTGTTGCCTTTGCTTTTGGTGTTTTAGACATGAAGTCCTTGCCCATGCATATGTCCTGAATGGTTTTGCCTAGGTTTTCTTCTAGGGTTTTTATGGTTTTCAGTCTAACATGTAAGTCCTGGATCCATCTTGAATTAATTTTTGTATAAGGTGTAAGGAAGGGAACCAGTTTCAGCTTTCTACATATGGCTAGCCAGTTTTCCCAGCACCATTTATTAAATAGGGAATCCTTTCCCCATTTCTTGTTTTTGTCAGGTTTGTCAAAGATCAGATGGTTGTAGATATGTGGCAGTATTTCTGAGAGCTCTGTTCTGTTCCATTGGTCTATATCTGTTTTGGTACCAGTACCATGCTGTTTTGGTTACTGTAGCCTTGTAGTATAGTTTGAAGTCAGGTAGCGTGATGCCTCCGGCTTTGTTCTTTTGGCTTAGGATTGACTTGCTGATGCAGGCTCTTTTTTGGTTCCATATGAACTTTAAAGTAGTTTTTTCCAATCCTGTGAAGAAAGTCATTGGTAGCTTGATGGGGATGGCATTGAATCTATAAATTACCTTGGGCAGTATGGCCATTTTCACAATATTGATTCTTCCTATCCATGAGCATGGAATGTTCTTCCATTTGTTTGTATCGTCTTTTATTTCATTGAGCAGTGGTTTGTAGTTCCCCTTGAAGAGGTCCGTCACATCCCTTGTAAGTTGGATTCCTAGGTATTTTATTCCTTTGAAGCAATTGTGAATGGGAGTTCACTCATGATTTGGCTCTCTGTTTGTCTGTTATTGGTGTATAAGAATGCTTGTGATTTTTGTACATTGATTTTGTATCCTGAGACTTTGCTGAAGTTGCTTATCAGCTTATGGAGATTTTGGGCTGAGACGATGGGGTTTTCTAGATACACAATCATGTCATCTGCAAACAGGAACAATTTGACTTCCTCTTTTCCTAATTGAATACCCTTTATTTCCTTCTCCTGCCTAATTGCCCTGGCCAGAACTTCCAACACTATGTTGAATAGGAGTGGTGAGAGAGGGCATCCCTGTCTTGTGCCAGTTTTCAAAGGGAATGCTTCCAGTTTTTGCCCATTAAGTATGATATTGGCTGTGGGTTTGTCATAGATAGCTCTTATTATTTTGAGATACGTCCCATCAATACCTAATTTATTGAGAGTTTTTAGCATGAAGGGTTGTTGAATTTTGTCAAAGGCTTTTTCTGCATCTATTGAGATATTCATGTGGTTTTTGTCTTTGGTTCTGTTTATATGCTGGATTACATTTATTGATTTGCGTATGTTGAACCAGCCTTGCATCCCAGGGATGAAGCCCACTTGATCATAGTGGATAAGCTTTTTGATGTGCTGTTGGATTTGGTTTGCCAGTATTTTATTGAGGATTTTTGCATCAATGTTCATCAAGGATATTGGTCTAAAATTCTCTTTTTTGGTTGTGTCTCTGCCAGGCTTTGGTATCAGGATGATGCTGGCCTCATAAAGTGAGTTAGGGAGGATTCCCTCTTTTTCTATTGATTGGAATAGTTTCAGAAGGAATGGTACAAGCTCCTCCTTGTACCTCTGGTAGAATTTGGCTGTGAATCCATCTGGTTCTGGACTTTTTTGGTTGGTAAGCTATTGATTATTGCCACAATTTAAGATCCTGTTATTGGTCTATTCAGAGATTCAACTTCTTCCTGGTTTAGTCTTGGGAGGGTGTATGTGTTGAGGAATTTATCCATTTCTTCTAGATTTTCTAGTTTATTTGCGTAGAGGTGTTTGTAGTATTCTCTGATGGTAGTTTGTATTTCTGTGGGATCGGTGGTGATATCCCCTTTATCATTTTTTATTGCATCTATTTGATTCTTCTCTCTTTTCTTCTTTATTAGTCTTGCTAGTGGTCTATTGATTTTGTTGATCTTTTCAAAAAACCAGCTCCTGGATTCATTAATTTTTTGAAGGGTTTTTTGTGTCTCTATTTCCTTCAGTTCTGTTCTGATTTTAGTTATTTCTTGCCTTCTGCTAGCTTTTTAATGTGTTTGCTCTTGCTTTTCTAGTTCTTTTAATTGTGACATTAGGGTGTCAATTTTGGATCTTTCCTGCTTTCTCTTGTGGGCATTTAGTGCTATAAATTTCCCTCTACACACTGCTTTGAATGTGTCCCAGAGATTCTGGTATGTTGTGTCTTTGTTCTCATTGGTTTCAAAGAACATCTTTATTTCTGCCTTCATTTCTTTATGTACCCAGTAGTCATTCTGGAGCAGGTTGTTCAGTTTCCATGTAGTTGAGCGGTTTTGAGTGTCTCTTAGTCCTGAGTTCTAGTTTGATTGCACTGTGGTCTGAGAGACAGTTTGTTATAATTTCTCTTGTTTTACATTTGCTGAGGAGTGCTTTACTTCCAACTATGTGGTCAATTTTGGAATAGGTGTGGTGTGGTGCTGAAAAAAATGTATATTCTGTTGATTTGGTGTGAAGAGTTCTGTAGTTGTCTATTAGGTCTGCTTGGTGCAGAGCTGAGTTCAATTCCTGGGTATCCTTTTTAACTTTCTGTCTCATGGATCTGTGTAATGTTGACATTGGGGTGTTAAAGTCTCCCATTATTATTGTTGGGAGTCTAAGTCTCTTTGTAAGTCACTAAGGACTTGCTTTATGAATCTGGGTGCTCCTGTATTGGATGCATATATATTTAGGATAGTTAGATTTTCTTGTTGAATTGATCCCTCTACCATAATGTAATGGCCTTCTTTGTCTCTTTTGATCTTTGTTGGTTTAAAGTCTGTTTTATCAGAGACTAGGATTACAACCCCTGCCTTTTTTTGTTTTCCATTTGCTTAGTAGATCTTCCTCCATCCCTTTATTTTGAGCCTATGTGTGTCTCTGCACGTGAGATGGGTTTCCTGAATACAGTACACTGATGGATTTTGTCCCTTGATCCAATTTGCCAGTCTGTGTCTTTTAATTGGAGCATTTAGTCCATTTACATTTAAAGTTAATATTGTTATGTGTGTATTTGGTCCTGTCATTATGATGTTAGCTGGTTATTTTGCTCGTTAGTTGATGCAGTTTCTTCCTAGCATTGATGGTCTTTACATTTTGGCATGTTTTTGTAGTGGCTGGTACCGGTTGTTCCTTTCCATGTTTAGTGCTTCCTTCAGTAGCTCTTTTAGGGCAGGCCTGGTGGTGACAAAATCTCTCAGCATTTGCTTGTCTCTAAAGGATTTTATTTCTCCTTCACTTATGAAGCTTAGTTTGGCTGGATATGAAATTCTGGGTTGAAAATTCTTTTCTTTAAGAATGTTGAATATTGGTCCCCACTCTCTTCTGGCTTGTAGAGTTTCTGCTGAGAGATCTGCTTTAGTCTGATGGGCTTCCCTTTGTGGGTGACCTGACCTTTCTCTCTGGCTGCCCTTAACATTTTTTTCCTTCATTTCAACTTTGGTGAATCTGACAATTATGTGTCTTGGAGTTGCTCTTCTTGAGGAGTATCTTTGTGGCATTCTCTGTATTTCCTGAATCTGAATGTTGGCCTGCCTTGCTAGATTGGGGAAGTTCTCCTGGATAATATCCTGCAGAGTGTTTTCCAACTTGGTTCCATTCTCACCGTCACTTTCAGGTACACCAATCAGATGTAGATTTGGTCTTTTCACATAGTCCCATATTTCTTGGAGGCTTTGTTCCTGTCTTGTTATTCTTTTTTCTCTAAACTTCCCTTCTTGCTCATTTCATTCATTTCGTCTTCCATCACTGATACCCTTTCTTCCAGTTGATTGCATCGGCTCCTGAGGCTTCTGCATTCTTCACGTAGTTCTCGAGCCTTGGCTTACAGCTCCATCAGCTCCTTTAAGGACTTCTTTGCGTTGGTTATTCTAGTTATCCATTCGTCTAATTTTTTTTTCACAGTTTTTAAGTTCTTTGTCATTGGTTTGAATTTTCTCCTGTAGCTCGGAGTAGTTTGATCGTCTGAAGCTTTCTTCTCTCAGCTCGTCAAAGTCATTCTCCGTCCAGCTTTGTTCCGTTACTGGTGAGGAGCTGCGTTCCTTTGGAGGAGGAGAGGCACTCTGCTTTTTAGAGTTTCCAGTTTTTCTTCTCTGTTTTTTCCCCATCTTTGTGGTTTTATCTACTTTTGGTCTTTGATGATGGTGACGTACAGAAGGGTTTTTGGTGTGGATGTCCTTTCTGTTTGTTAGTTTTCCTTCTAACAGACAGGACCCTCAGCTGCAGGTCTGTTGAAGTTTGCTAGAGGTCCACTCCAGACCCTGTTTGCCTGGGTATCAGCAGCAGTGGCTGCAGAACAGCGGTGGCTGTAGAACAGCGGATCTTGGTGAACCGCAAATGCTGCTGCCTGATCGTTCCTCTGGAAGTTTTGTCTCAGAGGAGTACCTGGCCATGTGCGGTGTCAGTCCGCCCCTACTGGGGGGTGCCTCCCAGTTAGGCTGCTCGGGGGTCAAGGACCCACTTGAAGAGGCAGTCTGCCCATTCTCAGATCTCCAGCTGCGTGCTGGGAGACCCACCACTCTCTTCAAAGCTGTCAGACAGGGACATTTAAGTCTGCAGAGGTTACTGCTGTCTTTTTGTTTGTCTGTGCCCTGCCCCCAGAGGTGCCTACCGAGGCAGGCAGGCCTCCTTGAGCTGTGGTGGGCTCCACCCAGTTGGAGCTTCCCGGCTGCTTTGTTTACCTAATCAAGCCTGGGCAATGGCAGGCGCCCCTCCTGCAGCCTGGCTGCTGCCTTGCAGTTTGATCTCAGACTGCTTTGCTACCAATCAGTGAGACTCCGTGGGCATAGGACCCTCTGAGCCAGGTGCGGAATAAAATCTCCTGGTGTGCCATTTTTTAAGCCCGTTAGAAAAGCGCAGTATTAGGGTGGGAGTGACACGATTTTCCAGGTGCTGTCTGTCACCCCTTTCTTTGACTAGGAAAGGGAACTCCCTGACCCCTTGCGCTTCTCGAGTGAGGCAATGCCTTGGCCTGCTTCGGCTTGCACACGGTGCGCTGCACCCACTGTCCTGCTCTCACTGTCTGGCACTCTCTAGTGAGATGAACCCAGTACCTCAGATGGAAATGCAGAAATCACCCGTCTTCTGTGTTGCTCACGCTGGGAGCTGTAGACTGGAGCTGTTCCTATTCGGCCATCTTGGCTCCACCCTATCTCCGGTGCGTGACTTCTTTACCCTGCACTGTTCCTGGAGTTTTGTTGCATATAGCCCACCACTTTTTAAGTTGAACAACAATATCAAAGTTTTCTGACATCTGTTTAGTTCTCTAATTAAAAGGCCAGTGAAAAGGAAGTCTTAAGGTCACAGATTGTCTCCTAGTGCTGAATTACTACAGTGCAGTGACAAATATCACAAGCTTTGGAATCAGATAACTGGAGATTACATCCCAGCTCCATGAGTTACCTACATCTCTATGTCTCGGTTTCCTCACCTCTATTAGCTTAACACCCGGCTCACAGGGGCACTGGGAGAATAATGAGATGCTGCTTGTGCAGTGCTGTGCAAATAACTAGTAGGGGCTAATTAAGTAGATGCTATTTTTTTTCTTTCACTATGTTATCATGACCCACCTCAGAGACTTCTAGCGTGCAATAAATAAGAGGAGGAAAAAAAATGCAATCCAAAGACAAATTCCCAGAATTAATGAATAATATTGATGTGGAAGAAAGGCTGAGGTTAATTTTTTGGAAAACTTTCATCTCATCCATTGCCAGATTCCATTCCAGAGCTATAAAGGTCAAAATTGGTATCATTTTCTAACATCAGAGGTTCATTATACTCTCTCCAAACTCTATGAAACATCAATTGTGTTTTATTCCTTAGATCTTGGCTCTTAGAGGAATACTCTCGTTTTTATAAATAGTACAAGGTCACATGTTACAAAAGCCTTACAATTCACAGGGGATACTCTTGTGAGGGGCTGCAGCTGTCCCAGATTTTACTGATGAAAGCTTTGCTTCTTTCTCTCACCCCAATGCTATTTAGTGTTCATTTGATAAATTTTATTTTACTATAATAATAATTCAAATTAAGTTCAGAAATATAACCGTCTTGTTCGTTGCCTCTCTTGTTGTCTCCAAATCTCCTGGTAAAAGGCCTTTATACAATTTGCCAAAAGGCAGATATTCTTAAGCTGCCTTCCTGCTGTTTAAGTTCAGTTCCTCCAGATAAATGTAGAACTCATGATGAAAACTTTTTGAGTGGCCTATTAAGTGAAATTCTGCTGTCCTATCCACATCCCCGGAGTCCAGGCAATCCGATTATGGACTTCTGGACTATAAGGTGTTACTTTGTTTCAGTATCAATCTGTTCCAAGTCCTTGGGGAGACCACAGTGATGAGATGTTATCTCTAATGAACTTAATATTAAATAATCTACTGTACCAATGCAAGTCTCAAGTTATTAAATGTATCATGGTGGATAGACCATCTGTCATGGTATAAACTGTTTTGATCAAAAATATACGTGTGTGAGAGTTTATAACAAATTTCATAGCACAGTAGAAATAATTGTATCACAATGATAGAGATGCATAGTATATATGTAGTAGTTCCCCCTTATTCACTGGGGACACATTCTAGACCCATAGTGGATGCCTGAAATCATAGATAGTACCAAACCCTGTATATACTATGTTTTTCCTGTATATACTTACCTATGATAAAGTTTAATTTATAAATTTGGTTTAAAGTTTAATTTATAAATTTAACAATAACTAATAATAAAATAGAACAAGTCTAACAATATGCCAGCACCACTACTCTTGTGCTTAGGGGCCATTATTAAGTGAAATAAGGGTTACCAGAACAGAAGCAATGTGATTCCATGACACTCCCCTGGTAACTGAGATGGCTCCTAGGTGAGTAACAGGTGCAGAGCGTTTGTGGATATGCTGGACAAAGGGATGGTTCAAATCCCAGGTGGGATGGAGCAGATAGTATGAGATTTCTGTCATGCTCCTTAGAACGATGTGCAATTTAAAACCATATGAATTGTTTATTTCTGGAATTTTCCATTTTCTGACCACAGTTGACTGTGAGTAACTGAAACCACAGAAAGCAAAACCTTGGGTAAGAGGGGACTAGCGTATAAGTGTCATAGAAATATGCATTTGCATGTATATTGCTACAAATATATGTATATGTATAATTTCACCAGTCATCTAAAGGGATAATGACATCTCGTAGTGTAGGTATTACATATTGTCTTTACAAGTCCAAGCATAAAAATTGAAGAGGAAGATTAGTTAAAAGCTTAATTTTACTTGCCTCTCTCAGGATGTAAAAAATAATAATAATAAAATAACAATGTTATCAGATCCTGGATAACAGGCCTTCTTCACAGCGCCTTTAAAATTCTACTTCTTGACTAAGATAATGCCGCAGACAGACTTGCCGAACCAACTAATTGAATATATTAAGCAATATTAACATTAGTGATATCAGGAAGCTTGAAATGAAAGGCAGCTGAAATGTCATCTTTTCAACCAAATGTACCTTATATAAATAAGTTCTAACTTGGGTTTATTGACTCAACCCCCTGTTCTTATTGTTTCACTTATCAGGGAGTCTTGGAGGGATTTCATGTCAGGTAGAGTGAGTCATTGTGGTGACATGATAAGCCATGTATTCTGGGGTACAAATAATTGCCTCTTATTTAAATCACATGATATAATAATGTGGATTAAAATTGGTTCTGGTACCAGACTCATGAGCACTCAAACTGTGTTATTTTTATCTTGCCTTGTGCTCAATTTGGATTTTATTAAACTGAAAGCTGTCACCGTTTTTCTATAATCACACATCCTACTGCAGATGTTGTATAGTCCTTGAAAATAAAGACTGTGTTTTATACATCTTTATACTTCTTGTAGCACCTGTGTAGTGCTTTCTGTATGCAAGATTCCTAATAAATGCTTGATGAATGTATAAATGATTTATTTAGAAAATCTTTATCTAACTCATATAATTAAAGGAAAATTCTACCTAGTGCTATAACTTACTTGCAAATCAATATTTGTATTTTTTAAAAAGCATAAGATTCATGGAATAATTGGAGTCTGCTATTTTTTCATATGGCTTTGATGTAGATAATTCCCACAAGGCATACATGGAAAGATGAATTTAATTAATGTTTCTTTTTAGGTCAGATTTTCTAGAGGACTTTGCCAATGGTTAAGCATCAAATGCAAATGCTACATGATTCTTTCCTCTCAGTATTTTCCCTACTGGTCTTTATTTCGCTAAGTGGTAAATGTTCATTAGAATGTTATACTATAAAATTCAATTTTCATTTACTAGCACCACTGCAGTTTTGGGGAGGACGCAATTCACATTCTATCTTTCTCAGAACTTTAAACAAAACTTTGAGGCTATGTGTAACATTTCCCTGAAATCCACTGAAAACAAATAGACAAAGAGATGATGCCATTTTGAGTAATAACTGCTCTTAAGAAAGACAATCAATATCATCAATATCGACATAATGAGATAGGTTTGTTCAGTCCATTAGAACCTAAGAACCCTTAGGCCAAACCCATGGATTAATACTCAATGAATTGGTTCTACTTACTGTGGGGATCAGGCTTGTGCATACATGCTCTACCACTAACTTGATAAATCAGTGCTCATCATCACTGCCAACAAAACAACTCGATGCAAGCTCTACATTTGGTAAATCCATAGCCTCCACCTTATTACCTGTTTCTCAGTACCTATACCTGGTATGTAGGTATATCCAGGTATATCCAGCTATATCCAGGTATGTAGAATGCATCAAATTAACACAGGTACACAAGTCACACACTCATTTTCCTTTGCTCCCCATGCTGTACTGTTTGTTCTTCCTTATCCACTGCTCATTTCCACATCGTGGCCTTCATTCATTTTTTTTTGTGGGGTTTGAGTATTTCTTCTTTTGATTCCTTTTCCTTTCTTCACTCTCTTGTCCTGGCTAATTCCTACTCAACATTCAGATCTCACTTTAAATGTCATTTCTTCTTATTTTCTCTGATATTTTCCTTATTTATATTTGACAAGAATGCTTAAAACCATATGCATCTCCTCTGTAAAACCTCATCATTATGATAGAAATAATGGTGAGAGATTGGTTATAAATCATGTGTCTTCTCCACTAGAGTGGAAGCTCCATCACAGCAAGGACACTGTTTACTTATTTTCTCTTATATTCCCAACATATAATAAAAATTTAATTAGTATTTATTGAATAGATGAATATATATATAGATATAAAATACTTAATGCTGTTCTTATACTTTTAGGTTACTGTAGGAAATGTTGCAGTACTTAATATGCAATAATGAGAGTTTTGCTGAATGAGCACGTAATATTGTATTATGTAGCCATGGAAAAAAAGAGTTTCGAAATATGAGAAAAAAGCATAGACTGTGAAATTAAAAGAAAAAGAGCAGGATACATGATTGTACATACAATATGGCCTAATTGGTATCTACATAGAAAAACTTGGGAAGAAAATTCACTGAAATGCATAAAGCAGCATTTGGATGATGAGACTAGGGATATTTTATATTTTTAATACAGTTTTGTAGTTTCTATATTTTTTATAATTACCATAAATTGAGAAAATAAAGCTATTGGAAAAATAAACGTCTATATTATGTATTAATTCTTGGTTGAACATCTTTTTTCCAGACACTGGGCAAAAGCAAGCAGTGACAATAAAAATAGTCTGTCTGTTTGAATGTTACATCCTTATGGGAGGAAGTATACAAGAAACAGCAAACAAACAAATAAGAGAATGTCACATAGAAATAAGTGCTTTAAAGAAATAATACAGGTCATTGGGACAGAAAATGAGTGATGGCAGAATTTTAGACAGGGAGTTCATGGTGAGCTGTTCATGGCAAAAATAATAGCTAACAGTTTTTAAACAACTGCTCTGTACCAGCCAACCTAATTGTCCATTTAAACGCTTGACCTCATTTTTTTCTCACAATATTCCTAGAAGATAGGTGTTATTCTTATCCTATTTTAACACACAAGGAAGTAGAGGTTTAGAGATATCAATTAAGATTTAACAGCCAATTTGTGATCTACCTCAATGACAGTGTTTATCAGATTGTAATTATTTATTTCATTATCTGTCTTCACTATAATACTCTCTGTTTCATGACTGCTGGGGCAAAGTCTCAAAGTACTTTATATCTTAAGCACATATTCCAGAGACTGAAGCAGAATTGAATCTCAGCATATTTTTTGTTAGATGAGCAAATATATGAGTCAAAAAAGTTAAGACAAAGGAGAAAACTCATCATAAGAGAAAGGTAATATTATTCTGAAAATTTTTGAAAAAGTATACCTCATAAAGTGAGTGGAAAATTATTCTGTAATGTATCTGTTAATGTCTCAATATGATAGGGAAAAAATTTATATGAAATAATAATAGAAGTTCATAAAAAATAATAAATAGGCCAGGCGTGGTGGCTCACGCCGAGGCGGGCGGATCATGAGGTCAGGAGATCGAGACCATTCTGGTTAACACGATGAAACCCCGTCTCTACTAAAAATACAAAAAAATTAGCCAGGCATGGTGGCGGGCGCCTGTAGTCCCAGCTACTTGGGAGGCTGATGCAGGAGAATGGCGTGAACCCAGGCAGTGGAGTTTGCAGTGAGCCAAGATCGTGCCACTGCACTCCAGCCTGGGCGACAGAGCAAGACTCCATCTCAAAATAAAAATAAAAATAAAAATAATAAATAAATGAAACATTAAGGCAAATTATAGATTAAATTTTTAAAAGAGCTAGTTGATTTTTTTAAACTCTAATCTCATGACAGAGTAACTAGTTGATTTTATTAAAAACCTACACAGAAGTTTAAAAATATAGTAAGAAATTCAGAATCTTAACTAGAGGATTTCAAAGCTTTAATGAGGGAATTTAATATACCACTTTCAAACTTCATCAACCTAAGTACCTGAAATTATACAAGAGAATAGAACTTTTGAATATGTAACACAATTAATAAATTCAACATGATAGCATATAAGAACTTTATAAAAAAGAAAAGCTATAAAATTTGTAAGAGTTATCAAGAATGAAGCCATAATAAATGACGAGTCATATATTACTGTAAGAGGAGAGTGAATATTATAAAGATATCAATTCATCTGTATTAAATTTACAGGTTTAAATGTTATTCCAAATAAAACTTAAATATATTTAACTTTAGGGCTTTGAAAAAAATGACTTAAAGCCTTTCTGAAAAATAAAGTTTCAAGTAGATTAGAAAAAGCATCGCTAGAGAAGACATGAGGAGGGGATAATCATATTAGGTACTGCTATGCATTTGAACACTGTAACAATTTAATCAACAGAGCACAAAGACCAATGGAGGGAATAGAGAGAAGTATAACATGGTAGTTAAGGCCATGAATGTTGATTTATTAAAAACAAGATTTGGAGACTTCTTTTTTTCAGCTCCTTTACCTAAGCAGCTTGGAAATCATCACTCTTATCCTCACTGTCAGGCCTCTGAGCCCAAGCCTGCATGTATACATCCAGATGGCCTGAGGCAACAGAAGAACCACAAAAGAAGTGAAAATGGCCGGTTCCTGCCTTAACTGATGACATTACCTTGTGAAATTCCTTCTCCTGCACAATGAGTCTCAGAAGCTCCCCCACTGAGCACCTTGTGACTCCCGCCCCAGCCAGAGAATAACCCCCTTTAACTGTGATTTTTCCACTACCTATCCAAATCCTATAAAACTGACCCACCCCTATTTCCCTTTGCTGACTCTCTTTTCAGACTCAGCCCACTTGCACCCAAGTGAAATAAACAGCCTTGTTGCTCACACAAAGCCTGTTGGTGGACTCTCTCTGCACAGACGTGTGTGACACTTACAAGAAAAGAGCTGAACAAACTTAAAATCATGGACATTTCTTTAATTTATATATAATTGAGATCCCAGGGTAAACTGCCACCCTATAAAATCTACAGACAGGTGAATATGAGGTATCACATTCCAGATAAGCTAACCTTGGGCAAAAGCCACTGCAGCCATAAACTGGTAGAAACACTTAAATGTTAATGAATTGCTAGAGGCTGAGTCTGGATTAGCCTAAAGGTAAGAAATTCCTTGGGCACCTCACCTTAGGAGGACCACAACACTTTTACCTCTAAGAATCCCATCAGGTTCTCAAGGATTGAAGACTCATGAAAAATTCCCTCACGTCTAGCACAGGGAATGAGAAAAGTAATCATTTAAAATGCACCTAGAATGTTCTCCATAAGAAATATCTTCAAATATAGTTAACTTATCTTTGACAGAAGAACAAAAGCAAATCAATGAAGAAAAGATAATATTTTCAATAAATGGCACTGGAACAATTGGACAGCCATATGCAATGGCAACAGAATTTAGACATAGACCCTACACTTTTTACAAAAATGCCTTAAAATAGATTATAGAACTATTTATATAATACAAAACTATAACATTTCTAGAATATGACACAGAAAATATAGGTTACTTTGGATTCAGTGATGAGCTTTTAAATAAAACAAAAAACATGCATAAGAGAAAAATTGATGTTTGGCTTTATCAAAATTAAAAACTTCTCTGTGAAAGACACTGTTAAGAAAATGAAATGGCAAGCCACAGAATATGAGAAAATGTATGTAGAATACCTCACAAAAAACTTGTATCCAGAATATACAAAGAACACTTAAAAGTGAATAATAAGAAAATTAACAACTCAAAGATCTGAACAGACATCTTATCAAAAAAGATATACAGATGAAAATAAGCATATGAAAGATGCTCAACATTATATATCATCAGGGATTTGCAAATTAAAGCAACAAGAAGATACCAGTACATAACCATAAGAATGTTAAGTGCAAAAAACTAACAATACCAAATGCTGACAAGGATGTGGAGCAATAGGAACTCTCATTCATTGCTGGTGGGGATGAAAAATTATACAGCTACTGTCACTCGTGTCCGTGTAAAGAGACCACCAAACAGGCTTTGTGTGAGCAACAAGGCTGTTTATTTCACCTGGGTGCAGGCGGGCTGAGTCCCAAAACAGAGTCAGCAAAGTGTGGTGGGATTATCATTAGTTCTTATAGGTTTTGGGATAGGAGGTGGAGTTAGGAGTAATGTTTTGCAGGCAGGGGGTGGATCTCACAAAGTACATTCTCAAGGGTGGGGAGAATTACAAACAACCTTCTTAAGGGTGGGGGAGATTACAAAGAACCTTCTTAAGGGTGGGGGAGATTACAAAGTACATTGATCAGCTAGGGTGGGGCAGAAACAAATCACAATGGTGGAATGTCATCAATTAAGGCTATTTTCACTTCTTTTGTGGATCTTCAGTTGCTTCAGGCCATCTGGATGTATATGTGCAGGTCACAGGGGATATGATGGCTTAGCTTGGGCTCAGAGGCCTGACAGCTACTTTGGAAAATAGTTTGGCAGTCTTATAAAACTAAACATTGTCTTCCCATAAGATTCAACAATTGAGCTCCTTGGTATTTGCCTAAATGAGCTGAAAGCTGTCCACATAAAGTTTGCACATAACTGTTTATGGCAGTTTTATTCATAATTGTTCAAATTTGGAAGCAACCAAGATGTACCCCAGTAGGCAAGTAGGTAAATAACTGTGCTACATCCAAACAATAGAAATTTATTCAATGACTTAAAAAGAAATAAACTATCAAGCCATGACATGGGTAACATTAAATACATATTTTTAAGTGAAAAAAGTCAATCTTAACTATATGACATTATGAAAAAGGCAAAACTATGGAAGCATTAAAGAGATTTGTGGTTGTCATCATTTTGGGGGAAAGGTAAGAGAGACAGAATAGGTAGAATACAGACAATTTTCAGGACAGTAAAACTATCTTTCAGGACACTGTGATGGTGGGTATTTGGCATTGTGCATATGTCAAAAATGTTATAGAACTTTACAACACAAAGATTGAAACTTAATACAGGCAAATGAAAACAAAAATATCATTTAGGAGATCATGGGATCCCAGGAATGAATGAAGACTGACAACAGAATGCAACTGTGTTACAAGTGTATGAAACAGCCTCACTGAAAGGAGTGGGAGAAAAGGTGCTACCCTAAGTAACTGGAAATGAATAGAGTTTGTAAGACTTAAGAAAAAAGGAACTGGACAATATGAGGAGTAGCCTGCTCTACCATGGACTTCCCACAGACACTTGAGCTGGCATGAAGAGCTGCTTTGAGAGGTGGTACTCTAGCCTTTGTAGTACTCTAGCCTTTGTAGAGCCCAGACGGTTTGGTACAGAAATGTCTGCAGTGGAGCACTAGAGTGGACCAGGTATGCCCAGCCCCCAAGTCCTGCCATGTTCCTCCAGGAGACTTTGGCCAGAGGGAGACTGTTGGACCTGGACAGAGCAGGGCGGTCTTGCCCATGTAATGGAACCAATTTCATCTGAGTGTCCTCCTGGCTTCTGGCCTCTCCCAAGGCCCCAGCCAGGCCACACCCGCTGGCAAATGACGCCTAACTAGGGTGCTTCCTGGAGACCCTCATGATAGCTCTTTCACCAGCAGGTGGCGCCTGACCATTAGAGAGCTCCAGCAGAGCAGCACCCCCTCCCCATCCTCCCCCGCACAGTGTGCCCAACCCCACCCCCAGTGCAGACTCTTATACTGCTTAGCTGGCACGCACTCACCCATAACCCCCTCTCCCTGCCATGGCTTTGCTGGTGTGTGCACACAGATGAGCCTAGCATTCCCTCCCTTGCTGGTGTATATGAATGTACACAACCCAACACTGCTGCCAGCGTGACCACAATTCACTGTCCTCCCAACCCCCAAAACGTTGCTATTCAGCCATACTGCCATTGCTACCATAAACACGTGCATTGACAATGGTGATACACACAAACACACGCACAGTCACGCCACTGGCACTAACGAGTTCATGCACACCAGCAGCTCCACCTCACCACCGGTGCAAATGTGCACACAGATGCCAGCAGCTATGCCCCCACACCTGTGCCAACACTACCACCAGCATGAATGTGTGCATGGACACCAGAAATTCCTCCCAACCTCCATGCCACCACTGCAGTCATGTGCGTGGATACCAGTGGCCCTGCTCCCCCAGCACTGCCACCACTAATGGTGCAAACACATGAATGCTGGCAACTCCACCACCCCCCTCCCCCAGCAGTGTGAATGCACACACAGAGCTGGCAGATGTGGGGCAGCACCCCACCACTGCCAGGGCAACTGCAAGCATGGACACTGACAACCATGCCCCCACCTGTGCTCCACTGACAGCATCCGCACATGCAGGAAAGCTGCAGCCCCATTTCCACCAGTACCCCACCTGTATCAGTCTGTTCTCACATTGCTATAAAGAACTACCTGAGACTGGGTAATTTATAAAGAAAAGAAGTTTAATTGACTCACAGTTCTGCAGGCTGCACAGGAAGCATGGCTGGAAAGGTCTCAGGAGACTTATAATCACAGAGGAAGGCAAAGGGGAAGGAGTCATGTCTTACATGGCTGGAGAAGAAGGAAGAGAGAGAAGGGAGGTGCTACACATTTCTAAACAAACCCATCTTATGAGAACTCATTCACTCTCACAAGAATAGCAAGGGAAGTTGGCCTCCAGGATCCAATCACCTTCCACCAGGCCCCTCCTCCAACACTGGGGATTACAATTGAACATGAGATTTGGGTGGGGTCACAAAATCCAAGCCATATCACCACCCCAGCCAATGTGCATGCACCCCGCTTTGCTGCCACAGCTGCTGGCATACATCAGCGAACATGGATCCTGCTGCCACCACCCCAAAGAAGTCCTTTGGCCAGCAAAATGGCAGCACCTAAGCCCCTCCAGTGCAGTAGGTTCCTAACCTCCAGGAGCTAGAGAACAAAGCCAGGGGCTCAGTACCAGCTCCCCAGAGTTAGAGCACACACATCAGGAGTGCTGAGCTGTGCCCTGGAGCCCTAAAATCTTCCAGAAATGAACCCAGTCAACTGAACCTACCTTATACCACAATCAAACCCCCAAGATAATCAAAGATGATAAAGAAAAAAAAAAGTCAATCCATTCAGAGGAGAACAACTTCAAAGATGGGAGGAATATCACCTCACACAGATGAGAAAGAGCTAGCACAAGAACTCTGGCAACTCAAAAAGCCAGTGTCTTCTTACCTCCAAATAACTGTACTAGTTAACCAGCAATGATTTTTAACCAGACCAAAATGGCTGAAATGACAGAAATAGAATTGAGAATATGGATAGGAACAAAGACCACTGAAATCCAGGAGAAAGTTGAAACCCTATCCAAGGAATTTAAGAAATACAATAAAAATGATTTAAGAGATAAAAGAAAAAAATGGCCATTTTAGGAAAGAACAAAATGTATCTGACTGAACTATAAAAAACTCACTTCAAGAATTTCAGAGTACAATTGCAAGTATTAACAGCAGAATCGACCAAGCTGAGGAAAGAATCTCAGAGCTGGAAGACTGGTTCTTTGAAACAACTCATTAGGATTAAAAATAAATAAAGACAAATAAGAGAAATATGAGATTACATAAAGATACCAAATCTATGACTCACTGGTGTTCTTGAAAGAAAGGGAGAGAAAGCAAACAACTTGGAAAATATATTTGAGGATATCATTCATGAAAACTTCCCCAACCTAGCTAAAGAGCTTCCACACAGCAAAAGAAACCATCAACAGAGTGAACAGACAACCTACAGAATGGGAGGAAATATTCGCAAACTATGCTTCCAACAAAGGTCTAATATCCAGAACCTATAAGGAACTTTAACAAATCAACAAGCAAAAAACAACCCCATTAAAAAGTGGGTAAAGGACATGAACAGATAGTTTTCAAAAGAAAAGACACATGCAGCCAACAAACATATGAGAAAAATCTCAGTATCACTCATCGTTTGAGAAACATAAATCAAAGCTACAATGAGATACCATCTCACACCAGTCAGAATGGCTATTATCAAAAAGTCAAAAAATTACAGTTTCTGGTGAGGTTGCAAAGAAAAGGGAATGCTTATACACTGTTGGTGGGAATGTAAATTAGGTCAGCCATTGAGGAAAGCATTTTGGTGATTTCTTAACTCAAAACGGAATTACCATCCAATCCAGCAATCCTATTACTGGGTATATACCTAAAGGAATATAAATTATTCTACCATAACAACACATGCATGCCTATGTTCATCACAGCACTATTCAAAATAGCGAGTATGTGGAATCAACCTAAATTCCCATGAACAGTAGCCTGGTTGAAGAAAACATGGTACATATACTCCATGGAATACTACACAGCCATAAAAAGGAAAAAGATCATGTCCTTTGCAGAAACATTGATGCAGCTGGAGGCTATTATCCTAAGCGAACTAACACAGAAGCAGACAACCAAATATCACATGTTCTCACTTAGGAGTAGGAGCTAAACATCAAGTACACATGGACACAAAGAAGGGAACAACAGACACTGAGGCCTACTTGAGGGTGGAGCATGGGAGAAGGGTGAGAAGGGTGAGAATTGGAAAACTACCTACTAAGTATTATGCTTATTACCTCGGTTACAAAATAATCTGTACACCAAACTCCCATAACATGCAATTTACCTTTACAACAAACCTGCACACATACCTCTGAACCTAAAATAAAACTTAAAAAACATTATAGATTTACTAAAGAGAACAAATAGATTGAAATGCAGACTTCCGTATAGAGAAAATATTTGCCAATGAAAGATCACTTGACTATCCGTTATTTGGCAAGTTAACAGAGACTTTTATAAATGCAAATATGTAGTGCAAATAAAGGTATGAGGATACGGGCATCCTACATATTTTTCTTTGGAGTATACAGTAGTATATTTTGCTAAGCATCTTGGAGCTATATATTAAAAATTCAAAATTTCCTGTTTTCTCTAACAAAGGTTTATACAAAGAAATGAACAGTTGTTCTCATCTTATAAAAAACTGGAAACAATCTAAATATCCCCAAATAAAGAAATGGTTAAATGGTTTTTAGAATATTCATAATTTAGGGTGTTGAACAGCTGTTAAAATAGTATTTAGATTTTCTAAAACTCACTTTGTTTCTAATAAATAATATTTCCTCATTATAAAGAATTTAAGCAATTCAGGAAAAAGCTACAAATTTCCAAACCTCCCTCTACCCCACCATTAAGCCAAAACAAAACAGACTTTTAGGCATTATTCCAGGTATATAGATAGGCAAATAGACAAAAACAAACAAACAAACAAAAAACAAAGAAGATAACTAGATGCCTATTGGCATTATTTTTTATGTTTCTTTTTAAAAATAATTTCAACTTTCAATTATGCAGATATATGTACAAGCTTGTTACATAAGTATATTGTGTGACACTGGGGTTTGGGGTACAAATGGTCCCATCACCCACATAGTGAGCACAGTACCCAATAGGTAGTTTTTCAGCCGCTGTCCCCATCTGTCTCCACCATTCCCTACCCGTGTAGTCACCGGTGTTTATTGTTTTCATCTTTATGTTCATGTGTACCCAATGTTTAGCTCCCACTTATAAGTGAGAACATGTGATATTTGGTGTTTTTCTTCCTGTGTTAATTTGCTTAGGATAATGGCCTCCACCTGAATCCATATTGCTGGAAATGACATAATTTCATTCTATTTTACCGCTGTGTAGCATTCTATAGCATATATGTACCACATTTGCTTTATCCAATCCATTGTTGGCGGGCAAGCACCAGAGTATAATTTTCTTTTCTTTTCTATTTTTTTTTTTTTTTAGATGAGGTCTGACTTTGTCACCCAGGCAAGAGTCCCATGGCACAATCACAGCCCACTGCAGCCTTGACCTTCTGGGCTCAGATGATGTTCCCACCTCAGGTTCCCAAGTAGCTGGGACTACAGGCATGTACCACCACTCCTGGCTAAATTTTTTGAATATTTGTATGGACAGGGTTTTGCCATGTTGCCCAGACTGGTCCCAGTCTTATGGGCTCAAGTGATCCACCCACCTAAGCCTCCCAAAGTGCTGGGATTACAGGCATGAGCCACCGTGCCCGGGCATATTTTTGAAAAATGTTATTTTTGAAAAGTGACAGTACCAAGTGTTGGCCAGGATGCAGAGCAACTGGAATTCTGATATGTTGTACAAAATTGTACAAACACCTTGAGAAACAGTTCAGCAGTTTCTCAGTGAGTTAATTAACCAATACACATTTATTGTACAACCAGAAAACCCATTTAAAGGTGTTTATCAAAAAGAGGTAGAAATAAATAGATGTTTACACATAAACCAATGTGTGAATGTTCACAGCAACTTTTTTCATTGCCAAAAATCGGGAAGCAACCCAAATGTCCCTCAGATGGTAAGTGGATAGGTAGACAAATTATGGCATATCCATACAATGGAATAATATTTTGCAACAACAAAAAATCAAACGTGCATGCGGTAACTCAGGTGAATATCAAAAAAAGCACAGTGCTAAGTAAGGAAATTAGACTCAAATGCACAATATAATTATGTTTATATGACATCCAATAAAAGACAAAGCTATAAGGACAGAAAACTTCTCAGTGGTTTTCCAGCAGGATCAGGTTAGAGTGAGGATTGACTACAAAGGGGCCTTAGAAAAATTTCTGGAGTGATGGAAATATTTTATGTCTTTATCGTGGTGATAATTAAATGATGTTATTTGACAAACCCATAGAATTATATTTACCTAAAAACAAATTTTACTGTATGTAAGTTATACCCAATGAAACAAAGACAACAAAATATCAATGTACTATTTTGTTACTTAAAAAAATTATATAGTAAGTATTGAGAGAGAAGGCACTGAGAGTGGATGGAGGGAAGACACAGAAGCTGGGCTGATGGGAGAAAGCTGGCAAACCTGCATGGGGTTATTGCACACAGGGACTTGTTCCTGTCCCCCAGTGGCTCCTGGGAAATGGGTGTGTTGAACCGGCAAGGAGCAACCTGCTCCTGCCAGAGTCCTCTGGAACCCTGGCAGGAGGAGATCCCTCAACCACCACAAATACTCTTGTTGGCATGGACAGCTGCTTAGAAAAGTGGTAGGGGCAGCAAGCCAGCTGACATGAAGCCCAGAGATTCGGTGATGGAGCATCTATAGCAGAGCATGGCCAGAGATGGCCATCTCCCTAGGCTCAACTTGGTCCCACAGGAGACTTTAGCCCTAGGGAATCTGTTGGACCTGAACTCTTTGTTCTTGCCCAGCAGAGAGGGGCCAGTCCAACCTGAGCACCCTTTGGTCCGCTGGCTTCTCCCAGGTCCCCAGCCTGGCTATGCATGCTTGGAGGACAGTTTTGGATACCCTGGGAACTTACACCATAGCTTCCACTCTGGCAGACCATGCTTGACTGGTGGAGAGCTCCAGTGGGGCGGCCCTTGCAACCGCGCACCAGCCCACATGCCCCCTGTCCATACTGCAGCTTCTTCCTGGGACCAAGGAAACTTTCCACATTGCTTTGCTGGAGCATGTCTGCAGGCAAGTTTTGCATTCTTTGCCCTGACAGCAAGCGGTAATGAAGTCTGCCCCACCTCTCTCTGCCGACTGCCATTGCTGACAAAGCCTTGACAGGCACAGAGCCGGCCAGCCTTGCCCCAGCCAGTGCTCTGCCCTTGTGCTAACACTGTGCAGAGAACAGCAGATCCTCCACCGCCCCCAAGCAACCACTCCTGCTTGTGGGGCACAGAAAAAGCACCCAGACCTGCACTCACCAGTGTCCTGCCTACAAGCCAACACCACCTCCAGCATGACCATGCGCACAGTCACCAGGAGGAGCTCCCTCAACCCCCACCTAGCTGAGTGGCCTCCACCACTGTGGTGAATGCCTGCAGGGAGGCAGGTACCCTGGCACCCACTAGCAGTCTACCGCAGCTGATGCTGTGAGGATGAATTCCACTGTCACCGCACTACAAAATGCTTTGTCTGACACTGCCCTATGGGAGTGTAGTGACCAGTGGCCCAGAAGCACCTTGGGCCTGCCAGCACAGTGGATTTCTAACCTCAAGGAGCCAGAGGACAAAGTCATGGCCAAATACAAGTCCCTCAGATTTAGAACTTGCAGTCCAGAAGTTGGGAGCTGCGTGTTGGCCCCCTAAAATCTTCCAGAAAAAAAGCCATTTGGCAGAATCCACTTTATACCATAATCAAACCCTGAAGGTCATCAAATAAGATAAAAGAAAAAATTCCAAAGGTCAGCATCCTCAAAGATTGAAGGTAGATACACTCATAAACATAAGAAAGAATCAGTGCAAGAACCCTGACAACTCAAAAAGCCAGAGTGCCCTCTTTCTTTCAGATGACCACATTACCTCTCCAGCAAGGGTTCTAAACCAGGTTGAGATGGCTGAAAATAGAATTCAGAATATGGAGAGGAGCAATTGAGCTACAGAAGTACTCAATCCAAGCCAGCTAAAAACCAATCCAAGCAAGCTAAAAATTATGATAAAACAATGCATGAGCTGACAGACAAAATAGACAGTATAGAAAAGAACATAACTGACAGGACAGAGCTGAAAAACACACTACAAGAAGTTTAAAATGCATTCACAAGTATTAATAGCACAATAGACCAAATGGAGGAAAGAATCTCAGAGCTTGAAGACTGCCTTTCTGAAATAAGACTGCCAGACAAAAACAGGGAAACAAGAATGAAAAGGAAAAAATAAAACCTCTGAGAAATATAGGATTTTGTAAAGAGACCAAATCTACAACTCACTGGTGTCCCTGAAAGAGTTAGGGAGAATGGAACCAACTTGGAAAACATATTTCAGGATATCACCCATGAGAACTTCTCCAATCTAGCTAGAGAGGCCAACATTCAAATTCAGAAAATACAGAGAAACCTAGTAAGATACTCATGAGAAGATTATCCCCAAGACACATCATCATCAGATTCTCCAAGGTTGAAGTGAAATAAAAAATGTTAAAGGCAGCTTGAGAGAAAGGTCAAGTCACCTACAAAGGGAAGCCCATCAGACTAACAGTGGAACTCTCAGTAGAAACCCTACAAGCCAAAGAGATCAGGGGCCAACATTCAATATTCTTAAAGAAAAGAATTTCCAACACAGAATTTCATATCTTGCCAAACTAAGCCTCATAAGTGAAGGAGAAATAAGATCTTTTTCAGACAAGCAAATGCTGAGGGAATATGTTACCACCAGACCTGCCTTATGAAAGTTCCTGAAGGAAGAACTAAATATGGAAAGGAAAGACCATTCATCACTGGCCACTACAAAAACACAGCAAAGTACACAGACGAGTGACACTATGAAGTAATCACTAAACAACTGTGAAAAATATCCAGCTAATATCATAATGACAGGATCAAATCCATACATGTCAGTACTAACCTTGAATGTAAATAGGCTACATGACCCGATAAGAGACATAAAGTCGCATGTTGGATAAAGAACCAAGACCCATTCATATGCTGTCTTCAAGAGATTCATCTCACATGCAATGACACACATAGGTTCAAAATAAAGAGATGGAGAAAAATCTACCAAATAAATGGAAAACAGAAAAAAGCAGGGGTTGCAATTCTAGTTTCAGACAAAACAGACTTCAAACCAACAAAGATAAAAAAAGACAAAGAAGGGCATTACATAATGGTAAAGGGTTCAATTCAGGAAGGCCTAACTATCCTAAATATATATGCACCCAACACAGGAGCACTCAGATTCATAAAGCAAGTTCTTAGAGACCTTCAAAGAGACTTAGACTGCTCTGTAATACTAGTAGGAGACTTTAACACCCCACTGACAATTTTAGACAAATCATTAAGACAGAAAATTGACAAAGATATTCAGGGCCTGAACTCAGCACTGAATCAAATAGACTTGATAGACATCTACTAAACTCTCCACCCAAAAACAACAGAATATACATTCTTCTCATCACCACATGGCACATACTTTAAATTTGATCACATAATTAAATTTAAAACACTCCTTAGCAAATGCAAAATAACTGACATCATAACAAACAATTTCTCAGACAACAGTGCAATGAAATTAGAAATCAAGTCTAATAAATTCACTCCTAGCCATACGATTACATGGAAATCAATATGGTTTGGCTGTGTCCCCACCCAAATCTCATTTTGAATTGTAGCTCCCATAATTCCCACATGTTGTGGAAGGGACCTGGTGGGAAATAATTGAATCATGGGGATGGTTTCCTCCATACTGTTCTCATAATAGTGAATAACTTAAATGAGATCTGGTGGTTATATAAGGGGTTCCCCCTTTCACTTGGCTCTCATTCTCTCTTGCCTGCCACCATGTAATACATGCTTTTCACCTTCTGCCATGATTGTAATGCCTCCCCAGCCATGTGGAACTCTGAGTTCATTAAACCTCTTTTTCTTTATAAATTACTCAGTCTCATGTATGCCTTTATCAGCAGTGTGAAAACAGACTAATACAGTAAATTGGTACCAGCAGAGTGGGGCATTGCTGCAAAGATACACAAAAATGTAGAAGTGACTTTGGAACTGGATAACAGACAGAGGTTGGAACAGTTTGGAGGGCTCAGAAGATAGAAAAATGTGGAAAAGTTTGGAACTTCCTAGACTTGTTGAGTGGCTTTGACCAAAATGCTGATAGTGATATGGACAACAAGATTCAGGCTGAGGTAGTCTCAGATAGGTATGAGGAACTTGTTGGGAACTGGAGTAAAGGTCAGTCTTGCTATATAAAGAGACTGGTGACATTTTGCCCCTGCCCTAGAGATCTGTGGAATTTTGAACTTGAGAGAAATGATTTAGGGTATCTGGTGGGAGAAATTTCTCAGCAGCCAAGTGAGCAAGAGGAAGCAGAGCATAAAATGTTTGAAAAATTTGCAGCCCAATGATGTGATAGGAAAGAAAACCCCATATTCTGGGGAGAAATTCAAGCTGGCTGCAGGAATTTGTGTAAGTAATGAGAAGCCAAATATTAATTGTCAAGACAATGGGGAAAATGTCTCCAGGGCATGTCAGAGGCCTTCATGGCCGCCCTTCCCATCATGGGCCCAGAGGCATAGGAGGGAAAAATGGGCCATGGCTTCAGAGGGTGCAAGCCCAAAGCCTTGGGAGCTTCCAGGTGGTGTTGAGCCTGTGGGTGCACAGAAATCAAGAATTGAGGTTTGGAAACCTCCACCTAGATTTTAGAGGATGTATGAAAATACCTGGATGTCCAGGCAGAATTTTGCTACAGGGGTAGGACCATTAAAGATAACCTCTCCTAGGGCAGTGCAGAAGGGACATGTGGGGTTGAAGCCCCCACGCAGAGTCCCCACTGGGGGACTGCATAGTGGAGCTGTGAGAAGAGGGCTACTATCCTCCAGCCCCCAAAATGGTAGATCCACCAACAGCTTGAACCATGTGCCTGGAAAAGCTGCAGACACCTAACACCAGTCTATGAAAGCAGCCAGGAGGGAGGCTGTACCTTGCAAAGTTACAGGGGCAGAGCTGCCCAAGATCATGAGGTTCCACATCTTGCAGTAACCATAACCTGTATGTGAGACACAGAGCCAAAGGAGATCACTTTGGAACTTTAACATTTGATTGCCTCATTGAATTTCGGACTTGCATGGGGCCTTTAGCCCCTTCATTTTGGCCAATTTCTCCCATTTGAAATGGGAGTATTTATCCAATGCCTGTACCTCCATTGTATTTAGGAAGTAACTAACTTGCTTTTGATTTTACAGGCTCATAGGCGGAAGGCACTTGCCTTGTCTCAGATGAGACTTTGGACTGTGGACTTTTGAGTTAATGCTGAAATGAGTTAAGATTTGGAGAACTGTTGGGAAGGCATGATTGGTTTTGACATGTGAGGACATGAGATTTGGGAGGGGCAAGGGGGTGGAATGATATGATTTGGCTGTGTTCCCACCCAAATCTCATCTTGAATTGTAGCCCACATAATTCCCACATGTTATGGGAGGGACCTGGTGGGAGATAATTAAATCATGGGAGTGGTTTCCCACATATTGTTATCGTGGTAGTGAATAAGTCTCGTGAGATCTGATGGTTTTATAAGGGGTTTCCCCTTTCACTTGGCTCGCATACTGTCTTGCCTGCCACCATGTAAGATGTACCTTTCACCTTCTGCCATGATTCTAAGGCCTCCCCAGCCGTGTGGAACTGTGAGTCCATGAAACCTCTTTTTCTTTATAAATTACCCAGTCTTGGGTATGTCTTTATGAGCAGCATGAAAATGGACTAATACAGAAATCGAACAAGCTGCTCCTGAATAATTTTTGGGTAAATAATAAAATAAAGGTGGAAATCAAGAAGTTCTTTGAAATTAAGGGCAACAAAGATACAGCATATGAGAATCTCTGGGAGACAGCTAAGTCAGTGTTAAGAGGGAAATTTATAGCACTAAATGCCCACATCAGAAAGTTAGAAAGATCCCAAGTTAACAACCTAATATCACAACTAAAAGAACTACACAACCAAGAGCAAACAGATCCCAAAGCTAGCAAAAGACGAGAAATAATCAAAATTAAAGCTAAACTGAAGGAGATTGAGAATCAAAACACTATTCAAGAGATCAAGAAATGCAGAAGCTGTTCTTTTAAAAAAAATTACTAAAATAGATAGACCACTAGCTAGACTGAAAAAGAAGGAAATACAAGATTTTCAAATAAACACAATCAGAACTGATAAAGAGGATATTATCACTGACCTCACAGAAATAGAAAACAACCATCACATAATATTATAAACACCTCTATGTACATAAACTAGAAAATCTACAAGAAATTGATAAATTCCTGGACATACACACCCTCCCAAGACTGAACCAGGAAGAAATTTAATCCCTGAAGATACCAATAATGAGCTCTGAAATTGAGTCAGTAGTAAATAACCTGCCAATAAAAAATGCCCTGGACCAGATGGATTCATAGCCAAATTCCACCAGATGTACAAAGAAGAGCTGGTACCATTCCTGCTGAAACTATTCCAAAAAAGTGAGGAGGAAGAACTCCTCCCTACCTGATTCTATGAGGCCAGCATCATCCTGATACCAAAACCTGGCAGAGACACAACAAAAAAATAAAACTACAGGTTGATATCCTTGAGGGACATCAGTGCAAAAATTCTTAACAAAATATTCACAGACTGAATTCAGTAGCACATCAAAAAGCTTATCTACCATGATCAAGTAGGCTTTATCCCTGGGTTGTAAGGTTGGTTCAAAATATCCCCCTTAATAAATATGATTCAACATGTAAACAGAACTAAAGACACCAGATGATTATTTCAATAGACGCAGAAAAGGCTTTCAATAAAACTCAAAACTGCTTTATGTTAAAATTTCTCAATAAACTAGATATTAAAGGAACATATCTCAAAATAATCAGAGCCATCTATGACAAACCCACAGCCAATATCATATGGAATGGGCAAAAGCTGGAAGCATTCCCTTTGAAAACTGGCACAAGACAAGGATGCCCTCTCTCACCACTCCTATTCAACCTAGTATTGGAAGTCCTGGCCAGGGAAATCAGGCAACAGAAAGAAAGAAAGGGCATCCAGGTAGGAAGAAAGGAAGTCAAATGATCCCTCTTTGCAGATGGTGTGATCCTATATGTAGAAAATCCCATAGTCTTAGCCCAAAAGCTCCTTAAGCTGATAAACAACTTCAGCAAAGTCTCAGGATGCAAAATCAATGTGCAGGACACTGGCATTCCTATACACTAACAATAGTCAAGCCATGAGCCAGATCAGGAACACAATCACAGTCACAATTGTCCCCTAAAAAAATACTAAGGAATACAGCTAACCAAGGAAAACTAGAAAAAACAGTTTCAAAATTCTTATAGAACCAAAAAAGAGTCCAAATATCCAGGGCAATTCTAAGCAAAAAGAGCAAAGCTGGAAGCATCATGATACCCAGCCTCAAACTATATTACAGGGCTACAGTAATCAAAGCAGCATGGTACTGGAGCAAAAGCAGACACATAGACCAATGGAACAGACTAGAGAACCCAGAAATAATGCTGCACACTTACAACTATCTGATCTTCAACAAACGTGACAAAAACAAGCAATGGGGAAGGATTCCCTATTCAATAAATGGTGCTAGGATAACTGGCTAGCCATATACAGAAGATTGCAACTGGACTCCTTTTCTTACAACATATACTAAAATTAATTCAAGGTGGATTATAAAGACTTAAATGTAAAACCCACAGCTATAAAAATCCTGGAAAACAACCTAGACAATACCATTCTGAACATAGGAATAGGCAAAGATTTCATGATCAAGAAACCAAAAGCAACTCCAACACAGGCAAAAATTGACAAATGGGATCTAATTAAACTAAAGAGCTGCTGTACAGCAAAGGGAACTGTCAACAGAATGAACAGGCAAACTACAGAATGAGAGAAAAATTTTGCAAATTATGCATCTGACAAAGGTCTAATATCCAGTATCTATAAAGAATTTAAACAGATTTACAAAAACAACCCCATTAAAAAGTAGGCAAAGGACATGAACAGACACTTCTCAAAAGAAGACATATATGGGGCCAACAATCATGAAAAAAAACTCAACATCACTGATCATTAGAGCAATGCAAATCATCAAAACCACATGGAGATACCTCTGACACCAGTCAGAATGACTATTTTTTTTTTCTTTTTTTTTTTCCTTTTGAGATGAAGTCTCGCTCTTGTCGTCCAGGCTGGAGTGCAATGGTGCAATCTCAGCTCACTGCAACCTCCGCCTCCCAGGTTCAAGTCATTCTCCTGCGTCAGCTTCCTGAGTAGCTGGGATTACAGGTGCCTGCCACCACGTCCAGCTAATTTTTGTATTTTTAGTAGGGACGGGGTTTCACCATGTTGGTCAGGCTGGTCTCGAACTCCTGACCTCATGGTCTGCCTGCCTTGGCCTCCGAAAGTGCTGGGATTACAGGCGTGAGCCACTGTGCCCAGCCCAGAATGACTGTTATTTAAAAAGTGAAAAAATAACAGATGTGGCAAGGTTGTAGATTAAAACTTTTATACACTGTTGGTAAGAGTCTAAATTAGTCCAGTCATTGTGGAAGACAGTATGGCAGTTCCTCAGAGACCTAAAACAGAAATACCATTTGACTCCGCAATCCCATTACTTGGTATACACCCAAAGGAATATAAATCATTCTAGTATAAAGACACGTGCACACATACGTTCACTGCAGCACTATTCACAATAGCAAAGACATGAAATCAATCTAAATGCCCATCAATGGTAGACTTGATAAAGAAAATATGGTACATATACTCCATGAAATACTATGCAGCCATAAAAAAGATCATGTCCTTTGCAGTAACATGGATGGAGCTGGAGGCCATTATCCTTAGCAAACTAACACAGGAACAGAAAACCAAATACCACATGTTTTCACTTGTAAGTGGGAGCTAAACGATGAGAACACAAGGACACATAGAAGGGAACAACACACACTGGGGCCTACATGAGGGTAGGGGTTGGGAGGAGGGAGACAGTCAGGAAAAATAACTGGTGGATATTAGACTTACCACGTGAGTGATGAAATAATCTTTACAACAAACCCCTATGACACAAGTTTACCTATATAACAAACCTGCACATATACCCCTGAACTTAAGATTAAAGTTAAATAGAAAAATAAAATACTGTATAGTAAGTATAGTATTATATTTAATTTTATTAGGATTTAATTATAGAAGAAAGATAAATTGATGTGAATTTAAAAGCATGCTCAAATTCTCCTTCATTATCCTAGATCATGGATTTACCGTTTCTTAAAGAATAATTTTAGTTTAGAAAAATTTATGAAAAATTGTGAGAGACTGGAGTCAATACTGTTTTTAATCAATCTGTTTTCACTTGACACTGTACAGATTGACCTGCTGCTGTAACGATGAGAATATTAACATTTCTACCATTCTCCCCATTTTCCTCTCTTCTTGCTTCCTGGTTTTGTTAATTATTTGTTTTGTTTTATGCTGTTAATTTGTTAATTATGTGTTTTATGTCAAAGTTTCTTCTATTTACATTCTATTTCATGATAAACTGCACTCATTTTTAGTGTTAATTCTCTACTTAAGATTAATCCATGCATGCAACCCTCAAATTGTATCTGCTATATTCTTGTACTCTTAATTTCACAACTTGTTTGATTTTAGTTTTTCATTTTTTCTAACTCGACAATCAGCATATCAAAAATGGGCTGTGCGGTTGTAATTCATGAGTTTCCATAACATTTTAAAGTATCTGCCTATCGCCTTCAGACTAGAATTACATCATTGTGGAACTTAATTTTCTCTGCCACAATTTTCTTCATTTAGAGATTTGTTCATAAACCTCTGACTCCCATCATTCAGTGTGGCTGAGATTACTTTTTTCTTCTCTCTTGGAAGCTACTTAATTTTTGTGTTAGGATTTCAAGGGTATTCTTTATTTTTCCTGTAAGTTTCATACACCAAGATGTGTTTTGATGTATAGTGTGCTTAATATATAGTGTGCTCTGTCAATTTGCAAATGTAGTATTTTTTCATTTTAAGGAAATTTTTGAATACTTTTAATTGCTTTATCTTCTTAAGTTGCTAAATTTTTAAATTTACGACTGCCCAATATCTATATGTAGGCTCATTGTTTCTTTTTTTTTTCTTTTTTTTTTTTAAGACAGAGTCTTTCTGTACTGCCTAGGCTGGAGTGAAGTGGTACAATCTTAACTTACTGCAACCTCTGCCTCCAGGGCTCAAGAGATTCTCATGTCTCAGACTCCAAATTAGCTGAGATTATAGGCATGTGCCACCACGCCTGGCTAATTTTTGCATTTTTAGTAGAGATAGGGTTTCACCATATTGCCCAGGCTGTTCTTGAACTCCCGGCCTCAAGTGATCTGCCTGCCTCAGCCTCCCAAAGTGCTGGGATTACAGGCGTGAGCCACCGTGTCCAGCCTATATGTAGGATCATTCATCTGTCTTCCATTTCTATTAGTTTTTCTCTGTTGCTTTAATCTCTATATTTTTTCATGAGCTTTCACTGGGCTTATCCCAAACCATTTTCTCTTTGTAATTATCAATTGTGTATGCTGTGTGTTGTTTCCAATGTATTCTCCAATGATATTATTTATGTCCTCATTTTGTTTTCTTAGGCCTGTAACCTCCCTTCCTTTTGATTCTGGATTTATTAAATTTGTGTTCTTTAACACAAATTAAAGCTTTTAAAATAGTATAAAACATTCATAGGGAATTACATAATGTGAAGAAATCTGAGTTAATTTGCAGTCTATCTTAGAATACTTGGTTACTTATAAGGATCTCGTAAATGTTCAATAACAAGGTTCACCCCAACTAATTGAGAGGTGCACCCATTCACACAGTGGGATATCCACAGGGTTGAGATAGCTCACATGGATTGACGTGAGGCCCTGAGCTTTGACATCCTTCTGAAAGAGTCAATCCCTTGACTCCTTCCCACTTTTACTTGTTTTTCCCTAAGAGCTGTTGTCACCACTTCCTGGGAGGAGGAAGGAAGTCACAGATAAGGGTATCTTCTCAAAAGAGAATCTGTCTGGTTTGGGAGTATTGGTGAGAAAGCTGAGGTTTGAGTTGACTTGCCAGTGTAGTGCTTGTGGGTAAGGGTGGTGATTAAAGGAGCCAAGCTCTTTTGTACTGTGCCTTTCTCCCAAACTCGTAAATTTTTTTCCTTGATTTTTACTCCTTGACATTTATGGCTTTGGATCATCTTTTCATCATGAGTTGATGTAAAGGAAGTTTGTCTAAATAAACAGATTCTCACATTCTTACTTCCAAGACGTCACCATTGCACTGGATCCTGCTCTCCAGTCTGGGGGTGCCTGACTCTTTAAATACAAAGGCAAAATAAGGGAGCTGTGCAGTTCAGGTGCAAATCATTAACTCCAATGATAAACTATTAATACCTTTCTTCAACAAGTCTTTAAACCCAACACTAGAAATTTTCCTAACAACTCTATTCATTCAGTTTTTTTTTCATAAAGCTGGAGCGAGAGAGATCATTAGAAAATGATTTCCAATGTAATTTGGAGAGACACTCTGAGAAATATGCTTCATTGTACTGATACTTATAAACACTGGAAATAGTGAGCGCACTATGAGTAGTGCTCTTCCCTCCAAGAAGATGTCCTCACTTTATGTCCAGTTCACCACACCACAAGCACATTAGCCAGATGCTTTCTCAGATATAGTCTACTTTTATTGTTTTGACATGATTACTGACAAAGTACTTCTAGCTTTTAGTGTTGGGTCAAACCTAACACAGCCAGACCCATTCTTGCAGCTGTGTTTTCCCATAGTTGTGATGTTATATACTTGGGGAACGCTACATTAATACAGTCTTGTCACATAACTAGAGGTCACTGATTAATCTGCATAAAGATCCTATGGAAGTGCTGGAGCTTGAAGGTTAATCTTGCAGAAAATGAGAGAGCCCGTAAGATTAGTGGTCTCATATTGCACAGTGTAGGTACTCAATCTATAGTTTGGTAATTGATTTATTTTCCTTGTAGAACCCCACAAAGGCCTATGGCAAAACAAATAACAGGATCATTTCCCTTAATCTCACCCTAGTGTGCTTTTTTATTGGATTTAGAGAAATGAAAACAAGCCAACTTACTATTCTTGGAATAAAAAATTCACATTTTGGTTTGTTTTGCATATGTGACAAGCCAAATTTAAGAGGGCACTTATAATCAGATTTGAAGTCTGAAATAGATTTAGAGGAAGAATTATTTTGCCTACACCAATCATCCTTCTCCCCCAAACAGACTAACACAATAAAAACTGCAAATAATTGGTTGAAGTACTTTCCAGATTTCAAAGATGTAAGCAGAGTTTATTATCATCTTTAGAAAGTGTTCTTAAAATTAAATCTAATTTTGTCCAACTTCCTTCTTAGGTTATGGATTCCAGAGCTATGGAAAGGAGGGTTTTGTACCTTGTAAGCAGTAGGTCGTGAATATGCTAGTGTTGGTGAAGTGGGTTTTTAGCAATACTCTTTCCTGTCCTTCAGCCTCCTAGCCTCTTTATAACCACTTGATACCCTGCTGCTGGAATTACAAAGAGGAATTGCAGTGGTCAGCAAGATAAGGGAATGCAATTTTGGCCAGCCCCATACTGTTAACCAAGTTGAAAACGGATAGAAATGGGAGGAGAGAAGATAAGAAAAGAATTGCTTCTTCAAGGCCATTATATACAGGAATTTATCTAAGTTATGGGCTATATCCACCTGTTTCCTTGGAAAAATAAAACCTAATCTCTTTGCATTGTGCTTAGGCCTGCAAACTTCAAGAGAAAGAACTGCATCTTCCAAACAGAAAAGAGCCATGAAGGCAGGTGCTTCTCTTCACCAAATAGGAAAGGTCCAAAGTAAGCCCTAGTCTCTTGGCTGTGCCATGTTTGCTGACATCATGGTCTGTTTGTACCAGAGCAAGGCAGCATTCTGGTGGAGGTGACACAACATGAGATCTCTGAGCTGGGCCTTCATATGAACCTTAATGAGGAATAATAGGGTGAGTTGTTATTGCTATATAAAGAAAAGAATGCTTTTTCATTCACCTTAGAACTGTAGGGAGAAAAAAACTTTATGAAGACAAAAAGACTGAATACAAAAAAAGCAATTATCTTTTATTCATTTACATTCCATTTGATAAGAAAAAAATTATATGCTGTTGGGCTTGGTATCCTTTAAAACACTGAAAAATCAATCAATCAAATAAATTAGGTGCTTTGGAATTTTACAGTCAATGTCAAGAACATGCCATGAGGATTACATATGAATTCAGAGCTATTTTTTTTCTGAAGCATATTGCATTAAAAACATTTTGAAATGATTTGAAGCAATACAATACAACATAATACAAATAAATGTGGAAAGAGAAATAATAACTGGGCAGGGGCTTCATTTGGAAGGGGAAAACATCCATGCAAGGCTTGGTCCTGCTAAATTTCAAATGTGGTATCAGGGCTTGAGTTTTTAGAAGAAACATCAAATAGATTCAAGTCTGCTAAAGCCTGCAGGTGGCTTTGTTGTACAGTGTGGGGGAAAACCTTTGCTACATAGTTCTCAGTCTGAGAATTCATTATACACTCAATCATTCTCTCCTCCTCATCAGTTCTAAGGTTGGTTCCTGCATTAAAGCCCAGAGTCAATGTACCATGGACTTAGCTGTCATTGTGAATATAGTGTTTGTGCCCCTATGTTGTGTCTATCTTGCGATGCAACTACAAATAGTCCCTGACTTATCATGGTTTGACTTCAATTTTTCAAATTTAAGATGGGTTCATCAAGGCATTAAATGTATCTTCAACTTCTGATATTTTTGGCTTATGATAGGTTTATTGTAATGTGACTCCATCGTAAACAGGGAACCATCTGAATTCATTTGTATACTGATTGTCATTGGTTGACATTTTCATACATATTTAACTCGCACATTTATCACTTTCTGTTATCAGATCTTTAGCATCTAAAGATATTCATTAGATATCACATTTTTTTGTACTCTTCTAATGGCAAAGTGCAACATATATAAAGCAGAAGGTCTTTGTGATGCTGAAATATTTCACAGCTTTTCAAGAATAAACAAAAAGAATTTGGTGTAATTTTAGTGGAAATGGTATTTTAATCATACTCTAATATTTGTTAAAAATATGTTAACCCCTGTATATTACACATGAAAATTCTCTTTATTCTATATAGCATCATTTATTTATGATGTATAGTTTCTTTCTGGTAATATAGTTTATTTTATATTCACATGTTATCTACTTATTTACTATAGTCTTGTCTTAGTTTTGAATGTCATCTGGCAAACAATATCATGCATACTTGAAAAGAGATTCTAGGTTCTATAAGGACAGAGCACAGATGTTCCCTATGTTAATGAAAGTGGGGCCATTTTGGTTGTGGAAATATAAACTTCAGAAAAATAGAAAGGCAAAGACAGGAAGTCATAGTAGGGAAAGGAGGATAAGAACATCGTGGTTGAAGCCAAGAAGATGAGGACGATAATGAACATTCCCTAGAAGCAAGGATGTAGGATTGGCAAAGGATTTTAAAGAACAAGTAGCTTTCTTGATTGTTCTGCCATGTGGCAACATTGTGTAGCCCTAGGCCTTCAGTAATACCTGCTGCACGCTCATCTTTAGGCCAGTGGTACTTGGAGAATTGAAGGCATTTTCCAGTGATAAGATAGATCACGGCTTTTTCCAGTGATAAGACAGAGAGTTGGAAGGGAAGAAAGTGTTGAAGAAGTCAGTTGTGGAGACCAAGAACAGAAGCAGAATGCAAAACCAGGTAATTAGGAGAAATATAACTTCTCCACATAATTCTCAGTGATAGTAGCTGGGATGCTGGGTGTCCCATTTTATGTGAGTTTGAGATTTAAGCCAATATTTCTTACATTTTAAAGTACTTAAAAGTCTTGAGAGAACCCAAAAAGGTGATATGTAGGTTACATTATGTTATTGCAAAAGTCTAAGGAAAATTACATTCACAGGCATTAGTACAGACTTATCAATGCAGGGAGAGATTATTGTAACTAAAATGAGGCCTCAATGTACTGATCATACTAATCTGAATACAAGGCAAAGTGGGTCAGAAGGCACTGAACCCAGAGACTCTGGGAAAGAAGATTGAAGTCGGTAGTGAAACGAAAGGGAGGAGTTGTTTGTGAGGCTTCTGGGACCAATTTGTTCCTGTAAATGTTATTATGTGTTCAGCATAACTCGAAGATGTGGGAGAATTGCACCTTCTTTTTATTATTCTTCAGCCAAAACTTAAAGCACTAGTTACATGAGGGTGCGAAATAATTATTTTATGATTAAACTATGTTCATGTTAGCAAACTGCAATGGTTTGACTTTGGTGAGTCCTGCTCACCTGATAGTAGTAGCCATGCAACAGAGGAGAAGTTACTAAGCAATGTGAGCCTTAGTTTCCTCATATGCAAAATGGTATATTAACAGGCAACCCAACCAACTGTTGCTAGGATTAAATGTGAAGAGTACCTAATCAAGAGTATGGTTTAACAGTGATGTGCAATACATTTTATTAATCCCCCTTCCCTTTTCTGCAGAAGTCATCACCAAAAATTCTAAGGAAGAAGATTAGGTTAGTATCCATAGTCTCGCAGGAAATAGCTGGCTATGTCATCATTAACTCATATGGTATCAATCACAAAAGCTGGGGATGGGATGTGAGGCCAATTTAGATATGGGAGATTTAAAAAGAGTAATGATAGCGAGTGGTCAGCATGTTCTAGAATATGGCTTGACATTGGGGGTGGAAAGTCAAGAAAAGCTTGAGAGACCTTCAGGCCAAATCATCAAAGACTGTAGATCTAATGATCAGAAGTCCTAGCAAGGTGGGCACTGTGCAAATTGCTATCAGACAGGGGCTATGGGTGTTTTCTTAGGATACAGAGATTGAATGCTTAGTAAAGAAAAAAGTTGAACACATTTTGCCTTGGCAAGTCTGGTAGGAAGCTCCAGTGCCTGAAATGTATATCTCATTAGAGACTCCTCTGCTAAAAGCAGCTTTCAATCAGTTAATCAACGGAAGAAATGCATGTGGATGCTTTTTTGAGTCATTATCAGGACCAAATTTTATTATTTATCAAGACTACCTTAAGTAACCATTAGTATTGCAATGATTTTTCTTAAATCTTCAGAATTACTTTCCAAAATCATCTGTACCTGTTCCCTTATATCTGCCTCATGCCATAGTCTAGACTAAAACTGGGTTATTATGGCTCTACAAGAAGAGTGTTGTATCAAGAGTGGAACAACTCTGGTCTTCCCTTTTCACTTCACTTTCAAACTTTCTAAGCTTCTACCTGCATTGTTCCAGAAGCTTTTGGATTAGGCTTTTGGTCCTATTATTGAGATATGCCTGCCTTTGACAAGCCTCAATTTCATTGCCAATGTTATGGGATTTCTAGAGAACCAAATGGCAATAATGCACTGGCAAGTGCCTTCAAAAGTAAGAGTATTATGCAAATGGAAGGCACTTGATATGGTAGAGCTTTGAGGGCAAAATAGGTAAGTGTAACAGTGATAGTGATAGGTAAGTATTCCTTCCAGAGGCAAAAGAAAGGCCTAAGTTTCTTCTTCAGCATCTTTCTCCTTCTTTAGTTTCTGAATCTCCTTTCTGCTCTTGTGTTTACACATAAATTTGGCCATCATTAGCCCAAGATTTGTCCAGGACCCTCTGCTAGGGATGCATGTTGGTTGGTTTTGTTTTTCTCTACTTCAGTGCATGGGTAGGAAGGAATGGCGACTGTTTGAAAAACATTACTTCTCTGTAATGGCCAGTGCACTGCAGTCAGGCATCATCTTTCTTTTGATGCTCTTGGTAACTACTGAGCGTCTAGAAAGGGTGACATACATGATTGATTTTCAAGGAATCCCCAACCTGTATACAAAGAAGTATTTGACTACTTTAGAGGAAGGACTTTAGAAGCCAATGCCAACTCTTCAAAAATTTACTACCAGACCATCAACTGGAAGGTGTCCCAGATAGCATCAGAGCACCGAGATGTTGAACCAACATTGTCCTCCAAGAGGGTGGTAGAATATTACAATGTGCTCATAAAAATAAATGGTTAAATTAAACCTATGGGCAGTGACTAAAATAACTACTTCCATTATATAAATTCACCTATCGTGGGCAGATGCACCATGGCTCCTTCAAAGAGCTATTATGACCCCTGTGGACTTCAGTGTCTGAAGATAACAGGTTCTCAGAAATTTCTGACAAATTAATAATCTAACAAGTGAAAATGTTTGTATAACTTGGATCAATGGTTCCCCATTTCCCAGCGTTAGTTTAAAGGGATATTATGCTTTTGAACTATAAAAATCATGACATCCTTTTAAAGTTATCTACATATCTTACTCAATAATTAGAAAAAGCACTGAACCTGCAGTCAGAGAGAAACACAAGTCTTAAACTCTGACCTGCCTCTACTGAGACTTCAATTTCTTTATCTGCAAATTGAAATACTTGAACATTCTACTCTTCTGTATATCATATAATCTGATGCAAATACGTACAAACAAACAGATCCTGACTGATGGTCAAGGGAAAATTGGAGTCTGTTGACGGTACAGCCCAGAATTAGGTGCCAAGTTTAAAGGTATGATTCCAGTCCGTGACAGTCTCTGTAATGCGGAAGAATCTTGGAGCAAATTATGTAAACTGTTACAAGGTTGTCTTCTCTCAACCTGGTGGTAGCCTTTTATTCAACCTTCAAACATTCCTAGTACAATTTCTATATTCTGTTATTGGAGCCTGAAGGCAGCACTTATACATCCCACTGCTTCTGGCTTTCCTAAATTAAAGAGAAGTAGGGCGTGGTTTGGCTGAGATAAGGAAATGAAGAGGAGTTGAAGTTCCCTAGGGAGGAACAATGGCTGCTGTGGTGAAGATTACCAGATTAAGGAAAAAGAAATCAGAGCAGAGAAGAGAGACAGCAGTAGCTGGAGGACTACCTATGAGATTAAAGAGTGACTAAATCTGTGGCTCAGACTTTTAAAGAAATTCTATAATCCTTTCCCACCTTCCTCTCCTCCATTCCCATCCTGATCCCAACCGAAAACACTTGGAAAGGACTCATTTGGCAAACTGGCAAGGGATATTTGGGCTGCAATGGTCAGAGCATACTGGAATCTGAAATCTGCAAGGCGGAATCAGTGGAGTCATGGGATGGAGTGGGAATAGGATGCCACAGAAAGATGCTCAATCCTTGTGTTGCAGATCCTGTTTGAGAGACTCATATACTTTGCCACTTACCTCCTTTCAAAAATTATCATTTTCCTAAGTAGTAAATGTTTGCAAATATACTTAAAATAATATGACATCCCTATATTCTCCATCCAAATTCAACACATTACTATTAATGCTAATATTTTGTAATCTTGATAAACATGTTTTAAAAAATATAAAAATAAAATCTTACACACCCCATTGAAATGCCCCTCTGCATCCATCTGATTATGTTTCCTTCTCTTCCTTCTCTCTCCTCTGAAAGGCAGAGAAGTTGTCCATCTGTCAGAAGCACAGAGTCTGAGGGGGGTCAAAGGTAGCCAAATGGTGACCTGCAGGAGAGATGCCTTGACCATGGCCAAGGTTGTGGTGAGGAACCTCCAGGATAGGGAGTCTCTGGAGAACCCATAAGTGTGTCCTGGGAAAGAAAAGAAGCAATTGCACATCTGCCACATCCAGATTATGCCAATGTCCGGATCACAGTGAGACCAGAAAAGTGACACCATTTTTACCCTTACTTTTCTCCCTCCCTTTCTCCAAGATAGCACAAGTCTTTTAAATTAGGTCTCAACAGAAAACAGATGGCACTCTCAAAACAGCATAATTTGAGGAGGGTTTATTTATAAAATGACAGCTTACAAAGATGTGAGTATGGGGGAACCACCAGAGATAGCACAGTAACCGAGGGCTGGTCACAGCTGGGTAGTTCACCTTTAGGCCCAGAGATGAGGGAAGAGTGCAGTTACTAGAACTCAGAATAAACTGTTAGCCGGACATAGCCATCTGGAGGCAACCACTTGGAGAGGATGCCAGGAGAATAAACCCACGAACATCACTTTCCTAACTCCACCTGATTCCCTGCTGTGGCACCATCATGAAGCCAGAAGGCACTGGAACTCATTTACATAAATCTATACAGGTCAGCCATACATTTACATGCCAATACCATATTAGCAGCGTTACAAAGTTTTGCTCTGTGATATTTCACATTCCTTTCTAGATACTGTGCAAATTCTATTATAGCCTCTTTGACCCAAGAATTATTTACAAATAAAATTTATAAATGTTCAAATATGTAACTTTGTGGCTATCTTTAATAGTTTAATACCAATTTCATGGCATAATCCAAAAACATGGTCTCTACTATATAATTTTTTGTTATTTGTTGAGTCTTTTGCGACCCAGTACATGATTAATTAAAAACTGTTCAAGGTATGGTGGATAAGATTGTATAATCTTAGTGATTAGAGAGTTCAATATATATCCATTTATCTAGCTTATTGCTTTGTTGTTCAAATCTTGTATATTCTTACTTCTTTTTTTTCTTTTAAAAAAATTATTTTAGAGAGGAGATCTCACTCTGTCACCCAGGCTGGAGTATAGTGGCACAATCATAGCTCACTGCAGCCTCAAATTCCTGGGATCAAGCAGTCATCCCACCTCAGCCTCTCCAGTATCTGAGACTACAGCATGTAACACTATGAGGCTAAGTTTTTTATTTTTTTGTGGAGAAGATGTTTTGTATGTTGCCCAGGCTGGTCTCCAACTCCTGGCTTCAAGTGATCCTCCTACCTCAGCCTCCCAAAGTGTTTGGATTACAAGCATGAGCCACTATGCTCACCCATTTTTTTTTCTTTTTTTTTTTAGAATTTTTAGTTTTATTTGTTTCCTAATTTTTTTGTGTGAATTTGAGTCAACAGTTTTCACTTTGCATTTATTAGTTTCTCATTACAATTTTATTAATCTTTGATTTATATAAAGTTAGATTGCTATGTGCCAAAAATAACTTACATTTGCTACATAACTCTTACAATTTATTTCCATTATTATGTAATGATTATCTTTTCCTTATGTGATTTTTTTTTTCTAGAGACTTTTTTTATCTGCTATTAACATGGCTAAGCAAGCTTTATTTTTGACAATATTTTCTCAGATGTATTTTTTATCCTTTAATTTTCAAAGCATTTGTGTACTTATATCCTAAGTGTCTCATAGCATATAGCTGGATTTTATTTTATATTTTGGTCACTGGCCAAAACAACAAGCAATTTAAATCTATTTAATTTTATTGAGACTACTATATATTTGGGATGTTTAAATATTTTCCTTTGCTTTACTCTTACGCATTTTATTGGATTGACTGAACTATATTTCCTTCCTTCCTTCCTTTCACTCTTTTTGTACTGAGATAAAGTTATGCATATATGTATTCTCTTTCAATTTTCTTATGGCATTTTAAATTTAAAAGTGTTTAAAGTTAAATAATTTATCTTTAATACTCCTACAAAAACAATGACATTAGAATGCCTTAAACCTTCCATTTTCCATTTTATGATTACTATTTTTGGGTTTTATTTGTACCATACCAAAATTATTTATGTTAATTATTATGGCTTTTTAGAACCAATGCTTCCTTAGTTTGTCTCTCAGTTTCTTTGGACACTCTAGGTTCTTGATTTCATTGCCTCCTTTCATTTGAACTTTTCTCCAAATGATATTTATATTTCTGTGGTTTTTATAACAAAGGTTTGTGGATGATAAATTATCTCAATTTATTTTCCAACTTTTTTTTTTTACTTTTTGTAATAGTTTGGCTGGTGTTAAAATTTAAGTTTATAGTTATTTCTCTCAGTTTTTTGATAAATCTCATTATGCCTTTTGACTTCTTTGTTGCAAATTTGTGTTTATTATAAGGGACCTGCCACATTTCTCTGGTTGCTTTTAAAATTTCTTAAGATTTTGGTTCCTTTAGTTTTATTACTGTCTAAATGCAGAATTGTTTTTTAGCCTTTCTCAGTGTGCTTCTTCAATTTGAGAACTCATGATGTTTTTCAATGCCAAACAAATCTCAGCCATTAATGTTTTGAATAATGTGTTTGCACCATTTTTTTCCAACCACTTTTTCTGGAAAACCTATTCTTTGTATTTTAGTTATTCTCATTCTATCATCTGTATCTTTTGAGCCCTCTTTGCTGTTTATGATTATGATTATTATTAATGTTAGCTATAGTATTCTGTGTAATTTCCTCATATCTATCATCCATTTCATTAATTCTCTCTGCAATTGTCTTTCTCTTCTTTATACTTCCCATTGATTTTTATTTCAATGACTAGTAGTTCTACTTGGATATTTTATAAATCCACTTTTTCTCCATAAAATCATATTCTTCCATTATGTTTTTTATTTTCTCTTTAACCATCAAGTTCAATAGACTCATTTTCTTATTTCTTTTAGATATTCCAAGATCACAGTTCTAATTTTTCTACTTGTTTCTGCTGTCTCTTTTTCATGGAGATTTTCTATGTTAGCCTCATTCACTCTGGATTGGACCCTTATACTGGTATTTTGCTGCAGAAGCCTGAACAGATTATGACAAAGTGGAGAATTTCTAAAACAGAGATATGAATAAAATGATGCCAGAACACAGAAACATCTGGCTCGGCATTTTTTTTTTTTTTTAGAGGGGCGAATTGAACTTTAAAGTCCTGTTAATGATTTGCTTGATTTCAAACTGGTATTAAAGATACAACCAGGCCGGGTGCAGTGGCTCACGCCTGTAATCCCAGCACTTTGGGAGGCCGAGGCAGGCGGATCACGAGGTCAGGAGATCGAGACCATCCTGGCTAACACGGTGAAACCCCATCTCTACTAAAACTACAAAAAAATTAGCTGGGCGTGGTGGCGGGCGCCTGTAGTGCCAGCTGCTCAGGAGGCTGAGGCAGGAGAATGGGGTGAGCCCGGGAGGCGGAGCTTGCAGTGAGCCAAGATCACGCCACTGCACTCCAGCCTGGGTGACAGAGTGAGACTCCGTCTCAAAAAAAAGATAGAACCAGTTAATTGGGTTTTTCTTGCATTGCTATAAAGAAATACGTGAGCCTGGGTAATTTATAAACAAAAGAGGTTTAATTGGCTCGCAGTTCTGCAGGCTGTACAAGCATGGTGCCCACATTTGCTCAACTTCTGGGGAGGCTTCAAGGAGCTTTTACTTATGGTGGAAGGCAAAGTGGGAGCAGGTACATCACATGGCCAGAGTAGGAGCAAGAGAGAGAGTAGGTGGGGGGATACCACATACTTCACTTTCTAACACAAAATCTCCTGCCTTTTAAAGCAGAAATGGTAGCAGCAGCTTCAATATAAGGGTTACATCATGAGTGGTGGGAGAGTTGTCCTAGATAGAGTGCTGGATTACATTTCAGAGTCAACATTAATTAAATAATCTTCAAAGGCTCTTGCATCCCTCACTCCCATTTCCATTTGAAAATATATATATTTCTCTAAGCCTGAGCTTTCTCTTGCCACTAATTTCCCAGCACCTATGACAGAGAGCTCAATGGTTAAATGAAAGTGAATTGTAAACCAGAATTTGGGATTCCAGGACGTCCAAGGGCATAGAAAATGGCAGAAAAGAAGGCCTGCTAGGATGAGAATTTAATTCTAGAGTCGAGGCTTGGTAGTTTTAGACTTGATGGGAGGGAAGGAGATACTATCTGGGACAGTTTATAGCCTTACAAAACGAGGACTTCACGTGGAAAGCGTCTAGGAAACAGCCGCCAGGCCTCCTGCTGTTCCCTCCTGTTGATGAGCAGAGACACTTTTCAGAGACCTCACCTTAATTTCCTGCCCAGTTGGCAGCCTTTGAATTTTTCAATAAGTTTTATGTTAAATAAAGTTGTTTTCTTCCTCTTAAAAATGACAATTTTCTCATGTATGTGTTTTTGATCTGGAAAATGCTTAGAAAGCCATTAATTATTTTATATTATATTAGTTTGAAATGAAAAACAGAAAGAAGAGGCACGCAGATCTGCTACACTGATGATGTTTTGTAGCTAATTTGATTTATTGGATAGGAAGAAATGTCAGGAAAAATCTAAAGTCTTCACTTCAGCAGATATTGTCTGATGGCTCCTATTAATCTACCACCCTTACCATTTCAGAAAATAATGCATGTTTAGGGGAAAATATATATATATGTATATATATATATGCCTTAGGAGCCTGTGGCTATCTGTGTGGCTTGGCCAAGTTGGCCCAATAGTTCAACTTCACTTGACTGTCAGGTTTCAAAAACCTATTTATTGGTGCTGTTTCTTACAGTCTTAAAAAAATTTAATTAGCTGGGCATAGTGGCACGTCCCTGTAGTCTCAGCTACTCAGGAGGCTGAGGCAGGAGAATCACTTGAACCCGGGAGGCGGAGGTTGCAGTAAGCTGAGATTGTGCCACTGCACTGCAGCCTGGCAACAGAGCAAGACTCTGTCTCAAAAAAAAGAAAAAGCAAAAAAAAAAAAAAAAAAAATTTAGTTTTCTTAATGTTTCCAATTCAGCGAATAATTTACTTGTTGACAGCTATGGGTGTGGATCAAAGAAAAAAAAGTTTTTCAGAAGGACAAAATATGACACTGAAGGAGAAATGGAAGGCGTCATTTTTGTGCCCCTTACAGTCAGCTTGACATATATGTGTTGACATCTTCCACCCAGATCTCTCTCCTTTACTCTGGATTTGTATATTAAGCCACTTACTGTACACTCCATCTGCTGCTTGCACATTTGCCTTCAACTCCATACATCCAGAATTGAATTTACTGTCTCACTAACTTACTTCTTCCTCATCTGCCTTTTCTTCCTATATTCCTTAAATGAGTGAATGGCAACACCATTTAACCAAGTGCTAAAGCTAAAAACTTGGGCAACATGTTGACTTTTGTGTTGTTCTTTCTAAACCCCAAACCATAATATGATAATTTGATATCATTTCTTGGGTACCTCCTACATGGTAGGCTCTGTAGTAGGTACCATCTCAATTAATGTTAAAAACAATCCTCTGTGCAACCTATTATTGGTCCATTTTCCAGATAAGGAAGTTGAGGCACAGAGAAGTTAAATAGCATGCTCATGGTGACACAGGCAATAAGTGGCAGAGCCATATGCACTACTTTCAGCTTCCTCAACGTATCTCAAGTGGTTGCCTAGAAGTTTTCTTCTCTGTTTGACTTACTTTTTTTTTTTTTTTTTTTTGAGATGGAGTTTCACTCTTGTTGCCCAGGCTGGAGTGCAATGGCACAATATCAGCTCACTGCAACCTCCGCCTCTGGGGTTCAAGTGATTCTCCTGCCTCAGCCTCCTGAGTAGCTGGGATTATAGGCATGTGCCATCACGCCAGACTAATTTTGTATTTTTAGTAGAGACAGGGTTTCTCCATGTTGGTCAGACTGGTCTTGAACTCCTGACCTCAGGTGATCCACCTGCCTCAGCCTCCCAAAGTGCTGGGATTACAGGCATGAGGCACCACGCACAGTCGACTTACTGTTTCTCATCTTTCCGATGGGACTCAACTTAAAATGTACTTCTTCCAGGATCTCGGTCTTCCAAGTCTGGTCTGGATACCTTCCCCATCCCCAGCCCCTACATCTCATCCCCATGATCATCCTTGTCACACTCTATTTTAGCTTTGTTTAATTGTTGGCATCCACCATTATACTGTGAGTCTTGTAAGAATGAAGACTGAGCTATTTCCCTTACCATTAAATCCCTAGGCCATAGCATATAGCCCATGCTAAGTATTGGTTTAGTGAATGAATGTGAGAGTGGAAGACTAAGAAACATAAATTCTGTTGATTTCTAAATTACTGCCTATGGCCAGCCCTTTGATAGTTTCCTTTTTCTAGAACTCTTCTGTATCCTCAGAGCTGTTCCGTCTTAGCTCTCATGCATTCAACTCATTGCCAGGTTCTGGAGGCTGCTGACTTGCAGAGAGCAAATCCAAGTATTTACCAAGTTTGTTTAACAAAGCAGAATGTTTTGCTTTTTTATGTTCTATCATAAAATCTTGGAAGAGACATGACTTTCTTGTTTATCCTTTCTTCATGGTGTCATTTTATAGGATTATATAGTGTCAATGTTCAAATGGAACTTAGAAACCATTTGATTAAATCCCTCAGAGGAAAGAGAATCCCAGAAAGATATGGCAATTTACCCAAAATGCTGTTGCTAGCAAACAGTAGCCTATTTCTACTTTATTTACTCAGCTTCTCACTATTATTTTGCCTTTTGGGGGTCAGGTTGATCTCCAGCCAGGTTGGGTGGGTGGCTATACCTGAGAGCCTGGGCTCTACCGACTTGTCTCTGGAGGCACTCAAGAGGGCTCAGTGCTATGCCTCACTTCTTCAAGGTCATCCAAGACTGATTGTAAGGCAGTCTTGTTATCTGGTGTTGTAACCTCAGAGCAGCCTGCAGCATGACCAGTCACACACTGAACAGAACAACAGCCAATTCTGTCACCCGTCCAAGGATTTGTAGCTCAGCCACGACATCTGGGGAAAGTGTTTACAGAGTCCAGAGCTGGACTCACTGAAACCATGTACTCACATCTGGAGTCTAGACAGCGTGGCTCTCTCATCTGGGCTCACAGCCTTTTCACACCTCCTGCGCTTCTCTCTGACTCCTTCTTTATCCCGTTTTTCACTTTGCCAAAGCTTGTTCCCTCCCGCCATGTGCCTCTGTCTCGATTGTTTTCTTCTTTCATTTTTTTTTCTTTTTTCAAATCACATTGGGCTTAAGCTTTTCCAGATACTCCTGACAAACTTCTTAGAAACAGGTTTTCCCAACAATGAGGAGATTGTAGAGGCATGACGTCATCGTAGACAATGTCCTAGCAACGTTCTGATACAACGTTTTCTACTAACCAGCTGCATGACCTTAAAAAAGATATATCACTGGGGCTTTATTTTTCTTACCTTTAAAATGAAAAAGTTAGACTACATTTGGCGTAGTCCAAAAGTATGTTTTTTTAAAAAAGCAACAAAATCCTTTCTTCAAACAAAATTGTATAAGGAACATCAATATGGGGGAAAAATGAAGAAAAGCTTTTCTGATTAACATGCGGGAGGGGGCAGAATAACTTTTTCACCTTCAAGAATCCCTAATGAATGCTGGGAGCAATAGAGCTCCTGGCATGCACAACTGGAAAATCTTTGGCCTGGATGATCTTTGAAGTCTTTTCTATTTGGTAGGTATGGCTGAAACAATAATGCTTATCATCTATACTCTTTGTACCCTACATTCCTCAGCACCTTGCAGCTAGGTTTTGCAATGTAAATAGTTCTGGCCAATGTGGGCAGACATGATTTGTCATTATTGAATTGAGACAGTGAAAACTCATGTGATTCTTGTAAGATACAATAAATCTTTCTGAGTTTATATTCAAAGAGTTTAGCCAGTTAACTTCCTTATCCTTTGTTCTCAAACTCAACTTTCTTATTCTTCCTTGCCCCTAGTTACCATAAACAGCCTACCCGCTTCCCATCAGCTCTAATCAATAACTCACATCTGTTCCCTTGGTTACCTGTACCCATTGTTCCCCCGAAACTGCATGTCTCACATGCACCACCTCTGTACCTCACGTCCCCCTTCCCTTCTATATTTAGGAAAATATGTACAAGTAGCCAATCGGGTCAGCTCAGATTGTGCGGTCCAACCCCAGCCCATGGGGGAGTCACACAGAGATAGGGACTGCATTAAGGATAAAAAACCCCTGGTCTTCTTTGTTCTCTGTGCTCTTGCAATCTTGATTAATGCAGGTAGCACCCTTCTGCAGAAGTAAATTGCCTTGCTGAGAGAATTAAACTTTTGCCTGAGTGCTGGTTTTACTTTGTGTCACTGAGCATTTATTCCTAGAGCATTTTTATATCCAACATTCTTCATACTTCTTTCCCTTACTGCGGTGACAAAAGAGGCTGCCTCTTGCATGAGGTGTAGCTATGAGAAGATGAACTCTCTGTTAGCCTGGGTCCTTGAATGACAATGTGGAGCAGAGATGTTTATGGTGCCACTATGTAGACATACAGTATGATTGAAAAATAACCCTTTGTTGTGGGTAAGGCATTGGGATTTGGAGATTAATTTGCATGCTGAAATGAAGCCAGCCTATGTTGACTAAGGAGAAAGGTAAGAAGAATAAAATTAGGAGAACAAGATCGAACTTTCCTTCAAGTTAGGGCTTATTGAGCCATCTGTGCATTGTGGAACTATCTCTTTCTACTGGGTTATATGATTAGACAAACCAGACATTTCCCATACTGGTTTATTTAAATGAAATTCAATCAAAAAAGAGTCTCCTGAATAATAAATAGAAATGCTTTGAATATAATTCTTCAAATCTATAAAACAATTTTTAAACAAAATCCTTTCCCCAAGTAGGGGTCCATACATTTCTACAGAATCCTATACCTTGGAGATAGAATGTTAGAGCTATCAGGGCATCTTTGGAGAAGAGGGCATCAGAACAGGCTGGAGCAGAGGCTGCTTTCATATTGTAACGCAGGACTTCCTTCCTGAGGGTTTTCTGTGTTTCTTCCCACAAGGGCACTGTGCTAACTGAGGATCATTATTAGTAGGTACAAATACTCCAGCTCCTACCTGGGGATTAGTGGGAAGTAGAGGTAACTCTGAGTCGCATATTCTACAATGAATCCTGCAGGATTAAGCTCCAGTTACTCAAAGGGTTAATTGGCATATAACTGGCTGCCTTTCTTTTCCTGTTCCACTCCCTTTTTCCTTACTGTTTCCCACCGCCCCCCCTCCCCCGTGGTATCACATATCAATAAACCACTGCACATGAACCCTTATCCCATGATTTTGAGGGAACCCAAACCAAGACAAAAGCCATTTAGCCCAGTCATTCTGTCTTCCATAGGTCCAACCAGTCTCCTCCAGGAAATTTCTAAATGACATGAATTCATTGGATAAGTGATAATATCAGGTACTTGGATGGGCTTTTTTTAATGGACATCACAAAAGAGTTGAGAGTTTCTAATCAGTATTCAATTAAATCCACTATGGAATTGTAGCAGTGCCTCCTACTGGGTTTTGCTGTTAAGAGATTGCTAAAACTCATCTCCCACTTATTAAAACAAAAGTCTTAAACGAATGCATCTTGTTTTTATGCTGAATCTCCCATTTCCATTTGTTCACAAGTGCAAGAGTATTGTCACATGACCATTGCCCCTAAGGTATTCCTGGTTTATTGGGTAAAGGTTGATCAATGTTCTTGGGAGAGTGTTGGACTGTAGAACAGAAAATGCTAATGGATACAAAGAAAAGAGATTGGTGCTTCAAGGGGTGTAATGTCAAATACATTTGTGTATTGGAAGCATTTGAGGGAGTGAAATGGGAGAAATGATGCTGATGATCTCAGACTATAATATCTGATTTCAGGAGCGGCACAGCAAAAAGAACAAATTACAAGGTATGGCCACAGAAGGAAGTGGCTAAAACGAAGTGAGAACTATGGAGGAAAGATGGCAGAGAAGTATATAGCCTTCAGAGTAGGGTTGTATTTCTAATCCCTGTTAGTAATGAACTTCATGTTTCTAAATGTGCACTTAGTCTTTATATTTATTGATTTCTCAAAAAAATGTTACCACTCTCTCTTTTCTTTTCTTTTTTTTTCTGCCAATACACCCACTCCTCATCTTGGCTCCTTGTCTCCATAACTTTAGGAGTCTCATTTCCCTCTTTTCTCTTCTCATATTCTTTGCAAATATCTCTTTTTAAAATGTTGGTGCTCCATGGGTGTAAGTCCTACATTCTCAGTAGTTCTCGGTCAGCCTTTTTCTCTGGATGATTATATCTATTCTCATGGTATTAATTCCCATCTGTATGCTGACAAGTCCCAAACCAATATCTCTAGCCCAGACTTATTTTCTGAGCTCCTTCAGTTGGATACCTCAGGGGCACCTCAAACTCAATGTGTTCGAAGCAGAATTTTTCACAACTCCAACCTCCCACCTAAAACCCACAAAACACTTTCTATTTGACTTTTCTCTATCTTAATAAATGGCAACACTGGGATCCAAGCTTAATGAAGCCAGAGACTTTTATATGTTTTGTCTACTGAAATATCCCCCATAGAATGGTGCCTAAAAAAAGTATTTATTAAAAACTATTTGAATGAATGAATGCTTGACTCTTCCATCCTCTATAAAATCAACTAAAAAGTCCAGTTTAGCTCTGGCTGCTTAGTTGCTTGCCAAATTTCTGTCCACCTCATCACAGTGCAAAAATATAGGAGAAGTCCAATAATAGGAGATAAGTTTATCACATCATTATTAGTAGCAACTAAATTTCATATTGATATATATGACTTTAGATTAGGGAATAATTCATACTCTGTGACTGAAAAATGTAAATATTATGGAAAAGGGAATAATATATAATAGTGCATTTTTCAAAGGAGCATTGACTATTTCAAATATAGGATATTTTTAGTACATACATATATAACTATATATATGTTTAATGTACAAAGAAGTGACTAGAAAAAATATAGCAAAATATTAATACTGATTTTCCTTAGAATAATGGTTTTTTAAAAAATTTTTTTCTTTATACGCTTGGCTCTTTACCAAGTTGTCTACAAATATGCATGCTTCACTTTTATAACCAGAAAAAAAATCAAAATATTTATATGTAATAAAATCAAGGTTAAGCATTTGGTTCTTGTCCTTTTTTGGGGTGGGGTGGGCTGGGGACAGGATCTCACACTGTCACCCAGGCTGAAGTGCAGTAGCATGATTATGGCTCACTGCAGCCTTGACCTCCCCGGGCTCAAGTGAACCTCCTACCTCAGCCTCCCGAGTAGCTGGGACTACAGGTATGTGCCACCATGCCTGGCTAATTTTTTGTATTTTTTATAGAAATGGAGTTTTACCATATTGCCCAGGCTGGTCTTGAACTCCTGGGGTCAAGCAATCTGTCTGCCTCAGCCTCCCAAAGTGTTGGGGTTAAAAACATGAGCCACTGCATCCAGCCTCTCTTTTTTTCATATTTTAAATTTTTTCACAGTTTTATTATTCAGTTAATTTTACTGAAAATATTTTCTTTTGATTTCTAATAATGAAGTCAAATGTTTATTTTTTAATAGAACTGCAAAAAAAAATAAAATGGGTTTATGTCCTGTGTCTCATTATTTTTTAAGTACTAATATACAATGGAATATAACATTCTTTTTATTTTATGTAACTACTTACAAAAGATCTGGGCCCTAGAGGCTTCTGTAAAGAATACAGAGTCAATAGAACAATATTGTTTTTTATATTAATGAAGGTATGGGTAAAATACCCTCATCCGGAGTTTTAATTGCCATTTATAAGCTTTATGGTTCTTCGGCAAGTAAATCTATAAATTGCAAAGCAGTAGTACCCATCACAATAAGAACACATTTCTCTCTCTCCACAGATATAGAAATATGACTAAATGTGCTATTATGAATGAGGATTGTTATATACATATAACCTGCTCCGAGAAAGGACTTTTTGAAAGAGAAAGGTAAAAACATGATTATGAAAAATTTAGAAAGATTATAAATATTCCTATGTCTACAAAATATGAGTGTCCATAGCATCTTTAAATGTGACCCATGTTAAACATACATTTTGTTGTGAACTGAGAAAAGTTTATATCGTCATTTCAAATAGCTTGGATTTTAGAGAAGAACAGCACCTAGGAAGCAAAAGACCATCCTTTGTTTCATCAGGGTTCAATATTAATTCAAAAAAGTGAATGGATTCCTTTCTTGTTCTCTTCCCCAACCACCTACCAATTTAGCTATATATCTCAAGCAAGCAGAGTTTTACATAAGCCTGTTCATTGCTTCCATCATGCTTTCCAACAAACATTCAATCACTCTCCTCTCCTATTTTGGGATAAGCAGTTGTGAAATTTTGCTGAAAATTTCTTACTGTGCCTTTGAGATTAATTCCCTCTGTTAACTGAATACGGATGGAAATAATTAACCTTCCACTCGGTTTTAATAGAAAAAAAAGTAGAATTTCAGTAGCACTAACTTACTTTATAGGCTATTACTTCTATTGTCTCCATCCCATCTCTTCCCACATGTGACCATCTGGTTGGCTGAATGCAGCTGTTCATTTATGTCATTTGCGTGACTACAGGTCCAAAGAGCATAATAGGAGGTGAAGGAAATCATGCACATGTGGGAAGGGGAGAGCTGAGTTATGGATCCCAGGAGTTCTCATTTTGGATAATTTCAGAAAATGCATAGCATATCACTGCTGGGTGATGTGATTGTTAAATTGTTGTTCTGGCCTCAGAAATAGAGCCTGGGTGCAGCTATTGGTGTTTGGGAAAAGAAACATGTTTATGGTATTATATGTTCAAATGACAAGTGAGATTTAATATGCAGGAATACAATATCTCCTGCCTTTACTGCCCACCTACTCTGACCATGGGAAATGAAATGTATACAATATGGTGCTCGACGTTGAGCATCAGGTACATAATCCCACCTTCTAGGGACTCTTAAGAATGTCTCTGCCCTGATTTTTTTTTTTTTTTGAGATTGAGTCTCGCTCTGTCACCCAGACTGGAGTGCAATGGCGTGATCTCAGCTCACTGCAACCTCCCCCTCCAGGGTTCAAGCCATTCTTCTGCCTCAGCCTCCCAAGTAGCTGGGACTACAGGCATGTGCCACCATGCCCGACTAATTTTTGTATTTTTAGTAGAGACAGGGTTGTACCCCATGTTGGCCAGGCTGGTCTCAAACTCCTGATCTCAAGTGATCTGCCTTCCTCAGCCTCCCAGAGTGCTGGGATTACAGGTGTGAGCCACTGCGCCTGGCCTGCCTGTCATTCTATACCATAAGGACAGACTCTGGAGTTCAAACCCAGAAATCTGTGTTTTAACAAACTCTTCAGAAAATTCTGACACATACTCAAGTTTGAGAACCACTGGCAAAATCCTTCAGCCATTTATTCCAGGTGATGTTTCTTTCTACTATTTTAGATCCAACTATGTTGTTTTTTGATATGTGTTGTTTTTACTCTTTCATTCCTTTTTTTTTTCCAGGTATCCAACGATTTTTATTGGACAATTGAATTATTTCTAACAATTGTTTTTCTACCCTGAATAACCTCCCCCCTTGAACTTTTTTCCAGGGGTGGGGATCACTTATTTTTATATTTTTTTCATTGATATATTATATTATAGTTGTACATCTTTTTGGATATATGTGGTATTTTGATATCTGTATACAATGTGCAATGATCAATTCAGGGTAATTGGGGCATCTATCACCTCAAGCATTTATCTTTTTTTTCGGTTGAGAACGTTGCAATATTTATTTTCTAGCTATTTTGAAACATACATTAAATTATAAACTATAATTGTTCTATTGTAGTATCAAATACTAGAATTTGCTCTTTTCATTTAACTTTGTTTGACCTTTTAATCTATTTTAAACATCCCTTACATCATGGCCTCTTACTTCAACCCCCTAGAAACTCCCCAGTGTCAATTGGATAAAGTCCAATTGTCCTGTCCTGTTCTATAACACTCCACATGGTACAAGCTTCTGAAAGTAACTTATGAACTTATTTTTTTTCTTTCTTCACAATTTAATTCTCTGGTGAAATTTGTTTTCTTAATGTCTATACCATTCCTTGCACATATTTTTCATCTATGCTTTTGTTTATCCTCTTCTTCCAGGTCTAGATCATTCTTTTTTTAACCCTTCTTGTGTTTTCTTTTCTTTCTTTTTTTTTTTTTTTTTTTTTTTTTTGAGACAGAGTTTCGCTCTGTCGCCCAGGCTGGAGTGCAGTGGCGCCATCTCGGCTCACTGCAAGCTCCGCCTCCCAGGTTCACGCCATTCTCCTGCCTCAGCCTCCCGAGTAGCAAGTAGCTGGGACTACAGGCGGCTGGGACTACAGGCGCCTGCCACCATGCCCGGCTAATTTTTTTTTGTATTTTATTAGAGACGGGGTTTCACCGTGTTAGCTAGGATGGTCTCGATCTCCTGACCTCGTGATCCGCCTGCCTTGGCCTCCCAAAGTGCTGGGATTACAGGCGTGAGCCACTGCGCCTGGCCCCTTCTTGTATTTTCAAATCCCAATCACTTCTCAGTTTTCACTTCTTTCAGGAAGACTTTCCCATCACCTCATGTACTTACTTACTTACTCATATACTTACTTACTGTTCATTCCTCTCCTCTGACCACTACGTGTACCCTATCTTGTATTATGTCCCCAGGGACAAAAAAATTTGATTTGGACATCTTTGTGTCTTTTCATCCAATAGCTTATAAGGCAGACTGAAGTGTTCATAAACTGTAGTGGTCTTTGAATAATAACTCCAAAGTTTTGAAAAATAGGTAGAATGCTTATCTTCAGTGAAGCTGTTATTTAGATTTGACATATTAGTATTTACATCTTGGTCACGATTCACTATCCTAACTGGAAATTACTCTGGTGTTTTGGGATGAAGGTAACTGTGCAATGAGAGGTCATTCTTCTGTAGAAGCAGAGGAGCTCCGATGGCCAGTGGCAGTGAATAGCTCTGAGGATGGAATTATTGAACCAAGATAAGGAAAACTGGCACTGGCTTCAGTTTCTTTCAGTGTCAGAGAGTTGCAAGTCTTCTAGTGTCACAAAGATAATGTTCTGGTTTTCTGTCAGTGATACAAAAAGAACAAGGTGGGGATGTGGGAGGAGGAAGAAAATCCATCTCTCTGCTTGCCTTTGCTACTACAGCAGAAAAGTATTTTGGAAAATGAGAAAATTACATCAACTATGTAAGTCAAATGATAAACAAAGTCCTTGTTGTAAATTCCAGATAAAGTTCTGATTTGCTATATGAGGTTGGTCAAGTAACGTTATGCTCTGATACTCAGAGACTTCATCTCTCAAATGAAGATTCGAATCCCTTTTCCTTGGGATTGTAAAAATTCAAGGAGATAATGGCTGTTCCTGGATCAGAAGTTGGTCAATTAAATCCTTGCCATTCTGGGGCTAGTACTGGGACAAGGTGTGAAGTGTGGGGTGTTCATCGTACCAAGGAAAATGACTGCCTTTATTTCCTATGTCCTGCATCCCCCTTCTACTATTGGAGCTTTCAGGCCCAAAGGAACTATGAAGAGAAGAAAGTCAAATGCTCAAGCAGATATGAGGGAAATAGCATGGCTATACCTTTATTAGGAAAAATAGATGTTATCCTTGGGTTTCCCTGGATACAGAAATATAAACGTCCATTTACTTGTGGAAACTATGCTTGCATAGTATCTCTAGATTTCCCGAGTTCCTGCCATGTGCCAGGCAACATGCTAGATGCACTCACATAGATCACTTCAACCGGGTCACAGCTCCATGATGTAAGTAGCCCAAAGAAGAAGAAAAATTCAAAGAAGGATATGTTGATTTCCCAATGACCAGATAGAGAGATTTTTTACTCCGAAGATGTTGTTCTTTCTACTCTCCGAGGACGCCATTCTGAAGCCAGCATGATCTAAGAAGCCACACAGAAGAGGAGGTAAACTTATACTAACTATAAAAGTTTTGATCCAAGTGGCAGCTGCATTATTAAAGCCCCTGAGTTCCCTATTTTACTTGGGATAATCTACACAAAGCCATATCAGTTAAGAATATTGAAGGGTGGAAATGAATAAGAATGTAGCATGTCCATGCCTAGCATAAAGCTGCATACAATTTTTAAGTAATGGAGCATCCACTCCCATCTGATCTAGATTCAAGACTCACTGGCACAGATTTATCAGTCTCACAAAACACTGGTTATTTTGTGCCTTCACTACTCCATTAGGTGTGCAGTTGTCTTGGGGCATCAGAGGTGAGTCCTTAAATAGTGGTTGGTCAACTAACAGGGAAGCATGAGAATGAGTATGAGACAGGTTCCCTACTCCATGCACTGGTCCTAAGCACTTAACATGGAGTCCCTCCTGCATGCTTCATTTGGTTCACGGACTCCAGCATGACTCTGACCTTAGAACGTCATCAGATATCCTGAACCATTTATTTGTTCTTTTTCCTGCCTTGTCCTCATGGTCCTGCCAACCCTTGATATTTGTTTAAGGTTCTCATTAAAAGACATCCTTCATGCCTTTTCTCCTGCAAAGGAGCAGATTATCCTTTCTAGAAGAGATTGATGGCCTATTTTAGAAAGACCCAGTTGCTAGAAATATAGAGTGAGTTCTTTGTCCAGCTTGGAGAACAGGTGGGGCAAATCCCTGTTATTTGCTGTTGATGTTTCACCCCTCAAAAGCCTAACAAAAAGGTTTCTTGCTATAGCAATGAAAAATAAAATACAAGTGAAATTCTCAAGGCACTCCATAAGATAAGCCTTTGGCAGCATTCCCTCCTAAATTTATATTTCAACAGAGGTTATTTTTCCATATTAAAATGAACACAGGGAAATTATGAGAAGGAAGAGGAGAGGAAAAGATGGAAGAATTAGTAAAATGAATCCAAAAGGAGAAATTTACATCTCAGATTAGCAGTATATCTCTGAAATTTTGTTCTGTCAGTGCATAATTTATCTGTGCACTAATGAAGGTAAATACTTGCTACTCTAATCCTAAAATCTCAGTGTTTTAACATAGTAAAAGCAAATTTTTCCAACACATTAGCATCTCATGCATATCAGCCTTTGGAGGCTAGTAGAGGGGCTGTACTCTGTTTCACACAGTCATTTGGGAACCTAGCTCTAGCTTGTAGCTTGCCATCTTTAAGAACTCCGGTTCTCCAATTATATTCTTTGCTTTGGGCAAAATGAAAGAAAAGCACAAGTGGAGACTATTTCAGGAAGCTTCTAGGGGTCAGGACTAAAAGGGGCATACTTTCTCCAACATTCCACGGGTCAAAATTCAGACACATGGCTTCATCTGTCTGTAATGGAAGCTATAAATACAGCTGAGTTGTGTAAACACGAATTTTAAGAAGCAGGATTTGGAGAAAACCAGCATTGTTTGATAACAATTTGGGACCAGAGCTAGGAATGGCTTTCCCCACTAGTAGTATTTCTGGCTAAGAGAGGAGTGTCCAACCAAGCTTTGGGAGTCTCTTGTTAGCCTTTTTAAACATTTAAACTGCATGTGGTAAAAGTAAATTTGACCTTCTTTTGTACTGTGTACAAATTCACAAAATATACTAGTAATTAATTTTTTGAATGTAGGTGAAGAGGTTTTATGTACTAGTTTAAATTTTAAATTGATGCTGCCATGAAAACATTTCATAGGTGTCTGTATTTCTGCTGGCTTAAAATTTAAAATATATTTAAAAAATTATAATCTGTAATGTACCTGAAATAAAATTTTGAGCAGAAAATAACCCCAAAATTGGCGTGTTATTTTCTTCCAAAAGCTTTCCCTTAAGTAGAAATAGAAAGGGTTGCTGAAGGATTAGCATGGCAAGTAAAAAAAATTCTTTCAGCAAAACATACATTCTTCTATTAAAACACACATAATGGCACATACTTAATAATTGATTATAGATCAACATTTGGGTAATAGAGTTGTTGTAATTTCCCCACACTCCTCTATGTTGCCATTACAATGCACTGAAATAAAAAACATTATTAACACCAAGATAAATTACATGTGCATAGAGATATATAAGTCAGAGTTTAACTAGAAAAATACAAACCAGTTCCGGTACCTACACTTAGAGAATTGGTTATACAGGTGATGGAGGAATTTAAAATGCAAATAAGACACAATAGAGTAATCTAAGATATTTAAACAGCAGGAAACCACTCCTAGTATGAGGCTGGAGAGATAAAGGAAGGAGGTAGTGTTCCCTGGCATAGGGGCTGGGGTTACTGAGTGGAAGCCGGAAGCATAGCAGACGTGTCCTGCTGGAAGTGGCAATGCGGAGATTATGAAGGTGCTGGATATGAAAGATATGAAGGAGCTGGCCCTGTAGAGAGTACAAAACCAGTGTCTAAAAGTCTGCTGGCAGAGAAGAAGAGAAAGAAATACTGGGTTTCTTCGCTCCTTACCCCTCACCTCCCACAAGCTTCTGCCTGTGTCTACCATTGACCAAACACAGCCAAAGTGTGGCTGATAGAAAGGAAAATCCTTGGTACCTGCTCTTCCTCTGATAACACAGAAGAACAGAGAGTAAAGAGCAATGCCTCCGAAACAAGTACACCCAGGATCATCAAATGCAATGAATGCACCAAGGCAGATCATCATATGTGCTTTATATTCACCATTGATTTCTCTTATTCAGAGCAAATGAATGATGGCCTCTCTCCATGTAGCTTCTTCGAGAGTACCTACAAGTTCAGAATAATTCCAAAGCCTTCGAGTCATGTCTTTGAGTAAAACTAATGTTTGGTTTTAATAAATTGCTACCTAAGTTTCCAAAACACATGTTGGAAGTTTGACTTTTAGAATTGTGTTCTTGCTAGAAAAAAATTTAAAAAAAAACTAAAATAGTTGGGAAAATGCATCTAGAATTCACACCTAGAAGATCCTCTCCAAAAATATCCAAGAGATGAACATAGGAAGGAGATTGTGTACCTTGAGAATCTGAGTGGCAAATACTTTAAACTAAATGTCAAACTGACAGAACAGGTTGATAAACCCTGGGAATTCATTCCCCAGTCAACAAGCAAGAATTACACAAATAAATTCCCACACTTCCTACACTTCTCTAAAAATCTATAACCTTTCTTAGGAGTTAGTTCAAAATAATGTAAATAACCTCAAATATAAATAATTTGAGACACGCTGCTTTTTGAAAGGTGATAGAAATGAAACTAAAGTAGCAGAAATAAAAAGAGTTGGGCACAGGGAGAATCTCAGGGCAGTAATGAAAATGGCATATTTTCAACCCAGTAGTGCTAAACCTTATTAAAGAAATGTCTGGAAACATGTAAAATGCTTTAATCGTCCATAAAAATAATGAGAGTTCCAACAACTTTAGCCGAATGGATGTCACCAGAACTCTCTAAGGCTGGTGTCTAACGTGTATTTTGTCTGTGAAAAGCTATTATTATTTTTTTTTTTCAGAATGAATTACAGTCTAATAGAAAGAGCCAGAATTATGTAGCCCAAACAACCTAATATGAGGCTGACTTAGGTATCTACTAAATGTATGGCCTTGGAACAAAGCATTTTATCACAAGAACCCTCAGTGATTTCTTGAGTGAAAAGGAGATATTACTTCTCTTATGGTTTGTGATAGGAATTAGCAATAATGTTGTTAATGTTGGTTGTGATTATTATCTTATTTGAGCATTTGTGCATAACACAAATTGACAAGGTAGCTTCCTTTAATATTATCACTTTTCTCTTCTCATCAAGAAAGAGATTATAACTTCTTGGAGACTCCTTAAAAATGCAAACATCCTTGAGAGGAGTTACTTCTTTAAATAGTATCTGTGAATATGGTGGTTATTTTTAATACCCTTGCAAAGCTCAGTTGACAGTCACCAAAGAGCAAAATTGGGGCAGGTAGTTGGGTGGAAGGAGGACTTACAGAAAGCTTTAATTCACATTGAACATGAAATTGAGTACCTTGTTTTTGGATCCAGCTGACGATCAAGAGAAGCTCACTGTTTTACATATTAGCCTCTAACTCTGTTCTTCCTTTAGACCTAATTGAAATGCTTGTCAAAAATGCCGGCAACTAGACACCATGCCTAGGATGTTAGAGCCCAGGAATCTGTATATTTATTAGGCAAGACAATTGACTCTGATTTATGTAGCCTGAAACCTCACTTTGAAAAATCACTGCTTTACAGAAAATATGAGAAGTTGCCAGGGAGGAGGGATTGAGAGTGGTGAGTGGTCATCCCACACAGACTGCAGCTCCTTAAAAGTTTTCCTAAGCTTCTTGATTCTGCCTTATTTTGTTGCCAAACAAACAAGAATAGGCTGAGAGTAACCCAGAGGGTTTTATGGCTTGATGCCATAGCTTTGAGTTCAGGAAATCCTTTAAATGCCAGACCCTGTTGTTGAGGAGAGGGGAGTGGTATCTATGATTACGTATTTAGAATTGCATTTTGGCATGATTAAAAAAAATAGTCGTTGCAAAGTATAGTGAATTTATCAATGCAGGTAGAGGGCCAAGAACCCACATTACCAGGGAATGGACAGTCCTCATTCTGGCAGAGATGGAGGGTGGGCAGAGTAGTATGACCCTGACTCACATTTCAGAATAGTAATTGTGCTTCTCCTTTGCCACTTGACCTTGACCTTTTCTTGCCATGTTTTATTTTCTGTCTTCTGTCCACTATGTTTTCTACTCACCACATCTACCACCCTTTCTTCTTACTCATCAATGATTTGAGGTGGCCTGTGGCTAAAAAGGGCACTCGCCTACCCTATATATCCCAGCCCAAATGTTAAAGAAGTGACTTACTCCCAGGTTCTATAACGATTCTATAATGAGTAATAATGACAAAAATCATCATTGCTTTATTAATACTCCTGCCACTACTAGGAATATAAAAAGTAAATGCAAAGGTATGCAAGAAAAATGAAAATTAATTTTTAAAAATATTCTTATGGTTATCTATGTTATTTCCATTAAAAATACTTTAAAAACATATAGTTTCATTGTTACAACAGTATTTTTCAGGGCCAAGATGATGAACCATCAGTAAATTCATTCCAGATTCAAAAGGAGAACCCACTAGTAGTTTGCTCCTCCTCCTGTAACATCTTACTGTGACAGAAATAAACTCAAATTGCCAAATCGCAGAGTAAATATGCAAGCTTCCTTTGCTGGTAGAAGTCTGTGAAATGTGTTCCTCGGGCTCTTTGGATTTCTGAACATGAAATTGAGTACCTTGTTCTTGGATCCAGCTGACGATCAAGAGAAGCTCACTGTTTTACATCCTTTAGACCTAGGTGATTTATGAAGCTGATAGCAGAACTTTAGAATGAGGAAAGGGCCAAGGCTGAAGTCTTTATTTAATCTGATTTCATGGAAAGTCCCCTTTTTCTTTTGGATCATAGGTGCTGTGAAGTATAAAACTTGAGCTGTATGTCAGTTTCAGTTGAGGCAGTTTAATAATTTTACATACCATGATCAGTTTCACAACTGATTCTCTTCCTTGTTCCAAATCTGGAGAAATGATAAATTTACTGACTCTGGATCTCAGTAAATAAGAAGCAAATATAGAAAATACACCCTGAGGCATGGACTCTTCTATTAAATATATGATACTATTTGTTAAAATCCTTAAATATGGCTATTGATTTTTAAAAATTAATTGCCTTTTTTAAGAACAAATTTAGATTTACAGAAAAATTTAGATTATAGTACAGAGAGTTCCCATATTCCGTCCCCTCTCCTGCACACAGTTTCCACAGTTAACATCTTGCTTTGGAGCAGTGTATTTGTTACAATTTGTAAACCAGTATTAATACATTATTATTAACTGAAGTCTACAGTTTATTGTAAGGTTTACTCTGTGTTTTACAGTTCTATGAGTTTTGACAAATGCATAAAGACATGCATCCACTATTACAGTATCATACAGAACAGCTTATCACCCTAAAAATCTATCGTATGTCACCTACTCATTCCTCTCCACTTCCCTCTTCCTGTTTCCCTCCTGGCAACCACTGATCTTTTCATTATTCCAGAGTTTTGGCTTTTCCAGAATATCAGGCAGTTGGAATCATATAGTATGCAGTCTTTTTTGACTGGCTTATTTCATTTAGTAATGTGTATTTAAGTTTCCTCCCTGTCTTCTCATGGCCTTTTCATTTTTCACTGACTATTTTATTGTATGGATGTACCACAGTTTATTTATTTATTTTTCTACTGAAGAACATCTTAAATGCTTACAGTATTTGGAGACTACTCATAAAACTACTATAAACATTTATGAGCAGGTTCTTTTTTTTTTTTTTTGGACATAAGTTTTCAGCTTGAGTAAATCCTTGGAAGCGTAACTGCTGGATTGTATAGTAAGACTATGTAAGCTTTGTAGAAAGCTGCCAAACTGTCTTCCAAGGTGGCTCTACCATTTTTCATTCCTGCCAGCAATAAATGAGAGTTTCTGTTGTTTCACAACTTCACCATCATTTGGTGGTGGTGTTTTTGGGATTTTACTCGTTCAAATAGGTGTGCAGTGGTATCTTATTTTAATTTGCAATTCCCTGAAGACATGATGTTGAACACCTTTTAGTACACTTATTTGCCAGGCTATCTATATATATCTTCTTTGGTGAGGTGTTAGTTGAGATCTTTGGCCCATTTTTAAAATTTGACTGTTTATTTTCTTACTGCTGAGTTGTAAGGGTTCTTTGTATATTTTGAACACAAGTTCTTTATCAATTACGTGTTCTACAAATATTTTCTCCCAATGTGTGTTTTTCTTCTCATTTCCTTAACAGTGTCTTTTGCAGGGAAGAAGTTTTTATTTTTAATAAAGTCAATGTATCAGCTTTTTATTTCATGGATTCTGCTTTTGGTGTTATATTTAAAAGCTCATCACCAAACCCATGGTCACCTAGATTTCTTCTGTTATCTTTTGGTATTTTTAAAGTTTTGCAGTTTGCATTTGGATCTATGATCCATTTTCAGTAAACTGTGGAATATCTGAAATCTGTGTCTAGATTATTGTTTTATATGGAATGTCCAATTGTTCTAGAACCGTTTGTTAAATGACTATCTCTTATCCATTGAACTGCCTTTGCTCTTTTGTTAACTATGAAAGATTTGTTGAAATACTAAATTTCCCGACTCTGATTCTGAGTACGAAAGTAATTGGTTAAACCAAATACAGAAAATCTATACTGAAACATGCCTTAGCATATTAAATATTTGGTAATGTTTGTTAAGATCCTTAAACTCAAACACAGCCATTAACTTTCCTGTTTCATCAGAGACATAAATATTTCACTGTGGCTTGAGTTCTAATAATGAAGCAATCATTTATTGAGTGTGAGATGCTAAGCTCTCTCTCTCTATATATATTCATTTAATCCTCACAAAACCCATATGAGGTTTTATCAATATCCACATGGATCATATCATAGAATGGTGGCTTACAGAAGTTAAATACCTTGCCCATGGTCATCCGGCTGGTATATGGCAAAGCCAGGATGGGAAGTCACCAGGTGATTCCAGGAGCAAAGATCTTAAGCATCTTTTGATATTTTCTTCATGTTCTCCTTTAAAACTTAAGAGTTCTCACCTCGATTGGCTTCCACTTCAGGATTGTGGTGAAATGACTGCTGCAGTTCTGGGTCTCACATCTCTTCCAGGAAATTTAAAAAAGAAAATCAATGGAACTTTTTCTTAGAGAACCTCTTATACTTCCCCTTTCATTTTGGTTGTTTGTGCATTCCTAAAACAACTCCAGTGAGCTGGGGAGTGATGAAAGGTGATTGACTTTGCCATATATTGTTGATCAATTGCGGTTGAGGGAATTTAAATTATCTGTAGAAATATAAGGCCCCTTGAGCTGGGGATGGTCAGGTTTCCTTGCATGGGTTGGTGATGATGAGAAGACACCTATTTGGAAATGAGCTAGGCTCTGAGTAGAAAGCCAAGAATTTCCCTTACACCTGTTTGTATACTTTCCTAATCACATTGCACCTTCCAGCCTCATCTCCTGTGTACTTTCCTTAACTTCACGTAAATTGGATGATCACTGTTCCTAATTATGCTCTTGATAAGCCCCCTCTGTGCCTTTGCTACTTTGTAGAGGCATTATACTTTTGAGTCAAAGACAGCTGGTTTCAAATTCTAGCTCTATTCACCCAGAGTGAGTAACTTACCCTCCCCCATCCTCGGTTTACTCCATTGCAAAAATAGAAATAATAGCTATCTCATAGAGTTACAACAACTATAAATTAAAAGAAGAACTTATCACAATGTCTGTGGTGAGGAAAAATAATGATTCCTTGAAATAGCTCCTTGCTAATACCTCCTTGCTAATAGCACACAATTGTCTTCTGGCTTCATCTCCATCTTATCTTTGTCAAGACTTGAAAAACAACCAATGTATGAGAAGAGGGAAATATGGTAGTAAAAGCTTTTTTTTCTAAAAGTTTCATTTTATACATTGGAAAAATAAACTTCCATAAAGTATGTTCAGAATCCTTGCCATGAACATGGGGCAAGGAAAGGAGTCAGCCTCTTATGTTACCTTCTGTTCCTCACAAAAGTGACTCCTGTTGCCTGCAAAGCCTGAATGTCCCTCCCCTGCCATTGACATCTGGCTGATTCCTTTATTTCTTCATACAAATGTCACCTCTTCAGAGAAGATACTGCTGATCCTTCAATCTTTCAAGCTCATTAAGTCTTCTGTTATTGGTTCAGACAACACTCAGTCCTTCTCCTCTTGTAGCCCTCGCCACATGTATGATTATAGGTTCTCTTTGTCTTCTTTCCTGACTTGTGATCTCTCGAGGACCCAGATGGCTTTATCTGCTTCACTGCCATAGCCTAGTGCCTAGTATGGTCCCTGGCACACACACAGGCACTTAAACATAGCTCTTAGTGAAGTGAATGAACAATTGGAAACTGGCCTGAAAGGTGACAATTCTCAGAATCCAGAAAGCTAGATAGACTTATTCGTTTGCTGCATATGCCTGGAAAAGAGTAAGAAAAATCAGCAGAAATAAAATATTTCTAAAACAACACATAGATCTACTTATTGCTTTGTGGGAGTGTTAAAGGTCCAAACTGTTCTGTGAAAAGTAAAATGATAACTACATTGGGTAAGTTTTGTTTCCAGTTGACAGACACATTCTTGTATAAGTGTCATATCATTCTTATTGAATCAAATAATATTTTATACACGCAAAAAAATGGAGCAATAAGAAAATGGAGTATAAGAAAAAATGGAGGTAGACATGGTAAAAAAAAAAGTAATTAAAATTAAAATAAAGGATGTGAGGCAAAATTCCCTGAAATATCTTTAAAATCCCACAGAATATTAAAAAGAAAATGTTTAGAATGACTTAAACACAAATAAGATGTCTGATCTCATTAATATGTTAGTCACATTAGACAATGATTTTTTGTGTGTATATTGAAAAATAATGCATAAGATTTGTTGATTTATTTTCACTGGTTCCTGAAATACAGCATTGAAATTAAACACTTCAGATAACAACTTAAATGTTCCAAACACAGTTCATGGCAAACTTGGAAAAAACCAAATATAGTACAGTGTACCGCTGCATGAATTCTGGCATTTTTCAATTCTCCTTGAAATGGGAAGGAATATACATACTCTAAGGTGATTATCATCAAGAGATCCATGAAAGGTGATTAGTATAAAGTTTGTATTTTAAAAAGTTGAAGCCTGGGAGAAATGTATTTAGAGAATATTGATGATGGGAGGAGAATGGTGTAGAATACAGGATTGGAATTCAGATTTTCCTAGGTTTAAGTTCTAATTTCCAGTCAGCTATTTAACTGCTATTTAATCACTTTGACATTGTTTTTAAAACTACTTGATAAGGATAATAATTATAATAAAAACTCCTGTTATTTTTATTTGACTCAGAAGAATATACACCAACCATCTGACACATAAATAATGGCACAATAAATAGTGAGTTTAATTTTATTGTGTAGAATAAGAAGCCACTTCTTGTCAACAAGACAATAGGCTGCTTCCCTAACATGAAATCAAGTTCATTTCAACACTGAAGTTGAAACCACCAACAATTACAAATACTCAGGTCAAGAGCAATATGTTTGGCCAATGTCATACAAAGAAACAGCCCTTGTCTATTACAAATTGCATTTATCATAAATCTTGCTGACAACTTTGGTAAGACAGCCTCAAAAGGAAAATATTTGCAAAACTAGGAAATGCTCTGAGGGCTCAAAGGAGAAAAAGACACTACTGCCAGCAAAAATACCTGTAAGAAAGCTTTGTTCTCAGTTGAACTTTTTTTTTTCTGTCAATCTAAAAATCACCAGTTTCCTCCACCAAATGCAAAAACCAGTAGAGGAAACAGAACTGATGGATGAGTTCAAAGCCAGATTTCTTTAAGCCTGTGATGGCAGGTAGAGTCAGGGATAAAGATTGCTTCTTCAAGTGATATGATTTCTTGAACTTAATTTCACAGTCTATCAGTTACCTGAGAGACATTATTTTCTTCAGCTTGGTCAAGTCAAAAGCAAGATTTCACAGATATAAATAAAGAGAGGAAGTAATGTCTTCTTTCAGGGGAATATTATCCCCTAGAGACACGAAGCAACTTCTTATAGCTGTTTGTACCTCTGATGTTTCCCGAAAGGTTGGTTAAACCATGGAATACTTTTAATAGCTCCAGCTTCCTCATGTAGAAAAAAAAAGCCCAATAATATCTTAAATGTACAAATAAAGGACATTGCACCAGTGGATAAAATGTCACCGTAAGATTTACAATATTGGTGGTATTGTGTTATTGTTCTTAGGTATATTTTAATGCCTTTAACATACTTCTCTTGGATGATTTGGAAAACAGATCCTTTTAGCTAATAGGAACAAAATCAAAACAAATAATTTTCAGAAGCCTTCAGTGGTAGATTTGTGGATTGCATAGTATAAGAAGACTAGTGGAGGAAATTTTGATGTATTTACGTATTAATTCATTTTTATGTATTTATGTCTTCCCTTGTTCCACAGATGATTTAAGTTGCCTAAAAACAACACAATGTGATTTTTAAAAATTAAAAATAACTAAGTGAGGAAATGAGGGCAAATAAAAGAAAGAAAGAAAAGATAGACTGACAATTAGTACAAAAGCTACTGGCCATGTGGTTTGGTGTGTGTGTTGTTTTGTCTATGATGCAGAAATAATTTTCAGTGAAACAGTTGCTCAAATGGCTATGGGCCAACAGAGATTTTACTTTTCAAAGACTGAGAAGAAATAAAGTGGTCCTGACCTGTTTCCCCTGGAAAGTACTTCTTGGACCCCACCATGATGGTAGGTGGCCCAGTCTATTTGGCTGAAGTTCCTGCATTTGACAGCCTGTATAGCCACAGCTTAATCACTGGTGAAACTTTGACAGAGGAAAAAGGGTACTCTAGGTATAATGAAAGTTAAACTTTTTTCTCTGTTATTTTGTATACCCTGCATATGGTCATTACAGATAATGCTTGCCAGAAAAGCTTCACGAGCCTCCCAAGGCAAAATCATATCAGAAGGAAATAGCCTCAGCAAGAATGTAAATAGCAGCTTTTATTGTAGATAGGACCACTTGAATCTACAGAGAGGATTTCCAAGGTCATGACTGTGTAGCTTTTCTCTCTCTCTAGTTCTTACCCAGGGATCGTCTATGTCAAGAATGACAACTAGATTTTCATACTGAGTTACAACTTAGCTCAATTGTTAATTGGTAGTTGATAGCTAACACTGTACGTTGAGCAAGATTCTGTGCCTGAATCCGGCCCCAGTGGGAAAGACTAATGTGATCAATTAATGATATTGGCCAAGAGAGTGGGAATAAGAGTGGTGGCAAGTGCTTTGAGCACATCTGGTTTCAAGAGTTTTCTGTTTTTTTTAATTCTGATTATACCCCAGATTTGTAGGAAATTGACCTTATGGTACCTATATTTCTTTCCTAAGACCTTTTTAGAAAGGGTAATGATGAGTCAAGAGTTTTCTCGACTCTATATAAGGAAAGACTGATGACTTTCCTCCATTCTGTGATTGCTTCCATGTGTATTTGTTGTTGTGAACAAAGTACCAATATGAACAACAGCATATTTCATATATTGAAAAAATTATCCAATTTAGACAGAATTGATCTGGATTGCAGATGAAGAGCGAGAAATGGGATCCATATCCAGGGTTATATGTTTTCTGTCATTACATTACAGATCTTTTTCATTATATTAATTTGCTATTAAGCCAGAAATAGGCAGTTATGAACATCTTTTGCTTCTAGTGTGTAGGTGGTTTCCAATTTTAGACTCTTCCTATTATGGATGGTAGAATGATTTCAAGTCCAACATAAGTCATGTTTGTCTTCTAAGATTCTGGAGGTATTACTTAATCCTCTAGGAATATGAAAAGTATTGTGGACATTATCATGATTGAAAGGGTAAACACAGATGTGTGTTGCCAGTGAATTTTTGAGCATGAATAGTGTGAGAACATCATCGATGGAATTCCAAGAACTTAAAATGCTGTGGGAAACTGGCTCCCAAAAAGTTACACAACATCTGACATGCAATTATCCTTCCACTAATCATTTCACTAAGAGTCAGTAGTGTTCATGAGGCTAGTTGTTTGCTTAAAAATGTTTAGAGGAGAACATTTAAAACTATAATGAAATGGTAACTGTAGACTGAAATTTGTAGCTGAAGATAATGATAGAATCTGGGCAGTTACCATTATTTTCATATACAAATGTGTATAGTGTATTGATCCATGACTGGAGTCATCTGTGATGTTGTAAAAGATCATAAAACTTGCTTAGAGAGCTAAGGCTTCCCAAAATTGGTAGGTGAATTTCTTTTTACTGATGTTGAATGTATTTACATTTTTATTATTGGAATAGTAATCTGTTTGGTAGGAAGCGAGCAGGTGTCTCTGAAGAGATATCACAGTGGGAAATGTTTATGGAATTTCCATACTTGGTTTCCACCCAATAGTACATATCTCATAACATTTCAGCTAAATTAGCACATTCATTTTTGTGCTATATGGGGGGTGGGAAAGAACTAACCTTTTCTAGTTTTTGAAAATTAATCAGACATTTTTAGCTTTCATTTTCTTTTGAAATAAGAAATAAAAGTTGCAAATATGAACTTCCACCTTGGCAGGATTAAAAACTCATTCAGGCATGAAGAAAATCAATATCAAGTCAGGAGAAAAAGGAAATGAGAAGCCTCAATTATGAAGGTTTGAAATAAAACTCCCGTGCACAATGAGTCCTATCTTTTCAAGGTCATCCCTGGTAGCTGCTGATCCCTACAAAGACATGAACTTATGAATCAGGAAGTATAGTACAGCGTGGTTGAGGAAACGCTCTCCGAGGGAGAGCTTCTACATGACTGCTGTGCTTTCAGAGAATCTCATAGCCATCACTGATACCTCTAAGGCGGTATTTAGAAGATGAAAGCTTGACCTGGTACTTGAGAAAAGTCACCTGACCAGGAATATGCATTATGTTATATGAATAAGAAGTAAATTTTTATTGTGTTAAGGCATTCAGTTTGGAACTTATTAGTTTCAGCTGCTAGCATCATTTTAAATAACATGGACAATTCTTCTTATCATCTCCAGAAATTTTTCCAAAGTGTCTCAAAATAATAACAAATTGAGTAAAACGATATTCTTGCTAGGTAAAGCCAGCTTTCAAGCAAGTATTCTAGACCCCAAATCCCTCCTGTAGAGAAATTATAGACGAGCCTCCAATTCCCCCACCTGTCACGTACTTCCACTAAAGGGTTCACAGGAAAGAATATACCCACCACAAAGGTGCCATATAGAATGGGTTTCCTAGCAAATAGGACCTGGAGATATTGTTATATAATAAGAAATATATATGTGGATTCTGCCCCAGATTCCTGACACACAGAGCTCCTAAAACCCTTGTGTATAGGGGTGCTAGGATAATTTTTTGTTCTAATGTTAGGTCTTTGACCCAGGTTCCTGACACAGAGCTCCTAAGACCTTTGTAATTTTCTGAGTGATAGGAGCATCTGGCACAGAGCTCCTACATTCCTTGGAATTTCCTGGGTGAGAGGAGTATCTTTTGTTTTCTGGCTGCCAGGAAACCAACAATGTGATTAGAAGATTGGAACCTTCAGCTCCTGTCCCCCAATCCCTGGACCTCTGAGGAGAGGAGAGGGGCTGAAGGTTGAGTTGCTCACCAATGCCAGTGACTTAATCAATCATATCTATGTAATTATGCCTCCATAAAATCCCAAAATGACTAATTTCAAAGAACTTCTCGGTTAGTGAAAACATTTGCATGCCAGAAGGCGCTCGCACTCCAACTCAGCAGGTATGGAAAATCCTACACTCAAAGCTCTTCCAGACCTTGCCCTGTGTATCTCTTCATCTGGCTGTTCATCTGTATTCTTTATTATATCCTTTATTAATAAACTGGTAAACATAAAATGTTTCTCTGAGTTCTATGAGACACCACAGCAAATCAATTGAACTCAAAGGAGGGGACCATGGAGACTCCAATTTATAGCCAGTTGGTCAGAAGCATAGGTCACAAACTGGGGCATACAACTGGCATCTTAAGTTTGGGCAGTTTTTTGGGACTGAGCCCTCAATCTGTGGGATCTGATGCAATCTCCAGGTAGCTGTGACAGTGTTGAATTAAAATGGAAGACACCCAGCTGGTGTCCATTGCTTGGTGTGTGGGAAACACTCCACAGGCACCTGGTTACAGAAGTGTTAAGTGGGTGTGTGAGTAGAAAAAACACTATGTTTTTTCCTATCCATATTATATTCCCAACTCAATTTTAGGTACTGCTTTTAGTTTTCTAATAAGCGAACAAAACAATGAGCACCTTAACACTGAGCGCTACCTTAGGAAGGCTTAACTGACTTACAGGCCTAAGAAAGTCAAGATGCTTTATCTAAGGTAACAGGTTGTATATTAAGGTTCCTGGATATTTTGTTTATTTGCCTTTTTTGCATGGAGCATCAAAGCAATAAACAATTTTATGTCAGGCTAATAGTGTGGCTGGAACATGAAATTTATAGAAGTAGTAAAAGTAATGATTTATATTCTAAACCGAAAGGGTAATCACGTGATCTAAGACTGGCAGAATCAAAAGTCAAAACTGCTGTCAGTCATCTGGAAGTTTTCAAATATTCAGACATTTGGCAGTAAGTAAACAAAAGGTTTGAGTAAGTGACAATTTTTTCTTTAGCTTTTGAGAAAATTATTTTGGTATATACATTAAATATTAATTGAGATAATATATTTCACATATGCATTTTAAATTGTATAGTAATGTAGTACTACCACTATTTTAAAACCTTCGGTTATAGCTTTGGTAAGGTAGCTATTCAAAATACACTTTAAATTTTTTATTGCCTGATAGATTCTGCCCATATAAAATATCCTTCCGGAGATATGACAATAGAGTAATTTTACTGAAACATTTCCTATTTAATTTTTCCAAGAATATTCTGAACAACCATATGGAAATGTGAATTTTTCAACTAAGTAATGATTTTCTGCAGTCATTGCAAGCAAAATAGAAAAATGCAACTGTGAATCTAGACTCAGAGGTTAAAAACAAATCAGGCAGAGTCCTAAACAAATTAAGGCTGCCCTGGTTCAAGCTCTGGCATTAGTGTTCCATATGAATTTTGCTAAAACACTTGCAAGTATTAGAATTTGAGGTCAACATCTGTGGACAGGTTACATTTTCTTTAAATCCAAGATATTTTTAATTGCTCTGGGCCTGTATTATTAATAAGATCCATTGAAAGAAAAGATAGAATCCTTGAATTTATATTCTTTTTATTTTATGAGATTCCTAGACCAGAATCGTAGGATTATTATGGTAGGGGAGAATTGGGAGGTTAACTTAACGGGGTTATAGCCTTTGCATCACATAAATTATAGTACCAATAAATAGTTAACAAATATCAACCATTGGTCTTAGATGCTATTGCAGAATTCTTTTTACAGAAAGAAAACAAATTCCATATTTATGAAAAAGCTTGGCCGGGCGCGGTGGCTCACGCCTGTAATCCCAGCACTTTGGGAGGCCGAGGCGGGTGGATCATGAGGTCAGGAGATCGAGACCATCCTGGCTAACAAGGTGAAACCCCGTCTCTACTAAAAATACAAAAAATTAGCCGGGCGCGGTGGCGGGCGCCTGTAGTCCCAGCTACTGGGGAGGCTGAGGCAGGAGAATGGCGTTGAACCCGGGAAGCGGAGCTTGCAGTGAGCCGAGATTGCGCCACTGCAGTCCGCAGTCCAGCCTGGGCGACAGAGCGAGACTCCGTCTCAAAAAAAAAAAAAAAAAAAAAAAAAAAAAAAAAAAAAAAAAAGCTTACAATCTAGTTAAGTTTTGAAAAGCCAACACCTTAAGGATTGATATAAACAAAATATTAAAAAGTAAGTGTTACAGGAACGCCAAAGAAGACTGGCATTAATGGGTAATATTAACTCCAAAAAAGCTGAGTATTTGAGGTTGATCTTAAAGAGTATGATGGGTATAAATTAGTGAAGAGTAGGGAAATAGAGTTCCAGAATACAGCAGGGTAAGAACAGGGTAGAAACACTAGTGAAAATTTGCATTTACACACGTTTTCTTGTAGGTGAGAGTTTATCTCGAGAATGCAGCATCTAGGAATTGTGCTTTTTGTGCCTCTTTCAGCAGATTTTTTAGTTCATAATGTTCCTCTGGCCCTGGTTGTAAGATATTTATGCTCGACTGTGTTCATTGTTTTTTGTGAACTTATAAAAATTGCTTTTTTATTAGTCTATAAAAGCCATGTTTGGAGACAGCCTAAAATAAAAATTAATGCAACTTATCACCCTACAGCATGGAACAAGTGCCTGTTTCAGTCTCTTATTTAAGCACCACAGATGCGTTGAAACCTAATAAAAATTGTTCCCTGGCACATCAACCCTAATCAGAGAGTAAGAAGCTAAAAATCTGTGAATCGCCTACAACCAAAGGGAAGTCTTTTGAGAGCTGCATTGTTAAAACTCTGAGAACAGGCATGTTATGTCTAGAGGCATAAAATCTGGGCTTTGTGAAGAAGCAAATGTTTATCACTTAGTAAATACTCTTCCTCCTTCATCACCTTGACTTTTTAAAACAATTAGTCCTTTTAATTGTGTTATGGCTCTCTTTGGCTTTGAAATATATCTTGCTGGACAGAAAAGGAGGCTGCATTCTTTATGGTCCTGAAATAATAATTGCAAGTAGTAAGACATATGAGATGTCCTAGTTTAAGGCATGTTCAATAACTATCTCCCTATATCCATGAGGGTGAGGGTAATAGGAAATACATAAAAACGAGCCAGTTTGGAAAATCATAACAATAACAGCAATAATGATTATTATTATATTACAAACACAAACACAGCACACAGCCCTGTGGATGTGATTGTTTTCCAGTGGATAGCTTGGGCCTCCCAGTTCACTTCTGAATGTGCCCAGGGATGCTGTGCAGATGGCCAGTACTTGCAGTGTGAGCCAGCTCACTGGTACACAGAAAGCTGGAGTTTGAGAGGAGAGAGCAAAATACAAAGTGTGTGTCCTAGACTCTCCCATCTAGCCTTCTCATGAGATAGGCCAACAGCCTTCAACAGGTGATGCTTCCTTCAGTAGCCCCACCTCCCTTGGCTTCTGCCCCTGACCTGGCTCAGGAGTCTTCATGGGAACAGTGTGCCCTTGTCTTCATCAAAAGCAGCCCTGCAGGGAGGAGGCTCGGAAGGAACTGGTAAGAAAATAGCACTCTAATGCTTTTTCCTCAGGTGCTCTCCAGATACATTCTCAAGGACATATTCATCTGTGAATGCGGATTTTTATTCCTATGCCTCATTCTGTTGGAGCTGTAGAAAACTAAACTCTATCTGGTTAGTCTTTAGGAAAAGTATGCTGGCCCTCCCAGATGTGATAAGAAGCCAGTTAAAATGATCTGGGCATTAAGGCAGCCACAGTGGAAGAATTCTAGCTAAATAGATACCATCTGTACCCCCAGAGCAAGCACATCACATCCAGCTCCTGACCCGATTATCTCTGAGCTATGGCTCCTGTGGCTCGGTCCGCAAGTCCATGCCTGGGGTTCCCAGAACACAGACCAACTGGTTGTGCAATGAAGACTTTATGAGAAACTTTGTTTTCTCTTTTCCTAAGGGCCTGAAATCAGCAAGCCAAAAAGCATTTTATCCTAATATAGAAAAGAATTAGACAGCAGATGCTTCTTCACAGCAGCCTGTGTGCTGGGGATAGAAAAAAAAATGGCGTAGCCTTCTCTCTGGCAAGAGTTAGGACTGAATCATCATGGGAATGTTTGTGGTAAAATTACATTTTTCCTTTAGATAGTGGAATTATTATCACTGGGCTATAGACAGCTAGTCCAGAGTGACTTTGATGAGACATACTCTTTTTCACCACATAAAGAGTGTATCTTTGGCTCCAAGGGAACAAAATATCCGAGAATATCGTCATGGGAGGAGAGCAGATGGGAGACCCTGGAAAAAGGTTGGCTGAGATCAAGAAGGGTGGAGAGCCAGCAAAATAATGAAGAAGATTTGTTTTCTTTTTGAACTAAGGATGGGGATTCGGTCATGTCTCCATAATCGTGTGAACACAAAAGGTCATCCCAATGAACAATGTTCCCAGTGGCCTCCATGAAGCAAACTACAAAATCAATTCTATATCATCTAACCAAAGACCACCACTAGGGACTAGGATGCCTTCTTAGGCTTGATGAGTGAAAATACAATTTTGTCTAGAGGCTTATTCAGATCAGGAAGGAAAAGGAGAAAAGAGAATTATTGAGGAAGTTCCTCCAATATTGGAAAATATTGGATTTCCCCCCCCCCCCTTTTTTTTTTGACAGGGCCTCACTCTTGCCCAGGCTGGACTGCAGTGGCATGATCTGGGCTCACTGCAACCTCCGCTTCCCAGGTTCAAATGATTCTCATACCTCAGCCTCCTGAGTAGCTGGGACTATAGGCGCTTGCCATCACACCTGGCTAATTTTTGTATTTTTTGGTAGAGATGGGGTTTCACCATGTTGGTCAGACCGGTCTCGAACTCCTGGACTCAAGTGATCCTCCTGCCTTGGCCTCCCGAAGTACTGGGATTACAGATGTGAGCCACCATGCCTGGTGATTTTTTGCATTGCTAATGCTTTAGATTTTCATCTATACCTGGCAGTTGCCTAGATATCCAGCTTGACTCCTTGCTGCTAGTGTCTTCTCTCATTTAATCAGTTCTTCCAGTTGGCCTTTGTTTTATCTTTCTAAAAGATTAAATTTCCCTCGGCAATCCCTTCCCTTTGCTAGCTCCTCATGAAATATCAAAGTCTAGCTTCTTCAACCTGAACATCATCTATAAAATATGGATACTCCCTGCCTCCTCCAATCCTACCTCCCAACAGTCCTCTGATCCAAGATGACTTTCTTCTCACTATTCCTGGAAGATATCTCCTCTTGCATTTCTATGTATTCAGTTGATTATGTTGTTCTCATCAAAAATGGGCACCTCCTTATATACATCTGCTTATCCAAATCTGTCCACTCCCCAAGCCCCTCCTTCAAGATCATCTTCAGTGCTCCTCCAGATGTGTCTTGCGTATCTCTGAATTTCTATAGCATCTAATGCTTATACTTTTGTAATTTTAGCACTCCATTTAGGCTTATTCAGATTTTTTTCCAACATTATTATGTATTTGTATAGAATGTCTTCTCCATTGAAAGAAAAATCTCCTCTGTGACACGGACTGTGTCACGGACATTTTAATATCCCTCATAATACTTCAAACAGTTTAATACAAACATTTAAAATCTTTTTGTTCCCAAATCAGTCTACACGTAGCCTTTAAACCTCATTGTCAGCCTTTGGGAATGGGAAAATAAGTCCAAATGAGGCAATCCATTGGAAGCTCTTTTAATTCATCATGCTTCTATCTCTCCTCTCCCCACTAGGTTAAGAGATCAGAGTAACTTTTGAGCTAATGAGGACACTAGGTGACATCAAGCCCAAACACTTTCTGAACAAGTGGCTGGTCCTGAGAGGTGATCGAGGTCACACAACTATAAGATATAAGCAGGAACTGAAAAATCACATCTCCAGACTCATCACTTGGTATGTTTTCTCTCCTTTTGTTATATTGCTCCCCATCCTAGCTTGTCTATGGCTGGTGGGCCAGAAAATATTGGTTAATTCAATTTTAGAAAAAAAAAAAACCCAAAACTAAAGAAATGAAAACAATGCGGGAGGGAAAACAAAATGTAGGGTTGCTGTGAACAGGCTTTTAGCTTTTCAGTTAGGTTTTCAATGCTTCAGGAATCCAGGGCATGGCTGTCGATTATGGCTGTGCTTTTGTTCACTTTGATTCTGTTTTGATATTTTCTTTTTGACATTTTAGAAGTTGCTTTTGGATTGAACTAACCACATTGCTTCCACCACCAATTATGATTAATTGTCAAAAAAGAGCCACATTATGCCCTCCATACTGTTAGGTTGCTGCTTCTTTGTTCCAGATAATTCTACCTGAGATAAAGCAAAAATCACAATGCTGGACCTAATGAAAATATTGATGAAATAGTCAAAGTGACAAATGCATAAAATGTAAAAAAAAAAGAGTAGAAATTTGATGCACTTTAGAAATACTCTAAGAATCACTACATTTATGTTTTAGGATGCCAAGAGGTATTTCTAGAAGGACTAAAATTAACATATCAGTATGGTTTTATAGAATTCTAAAACAAGATTTAAAAGTACTTAATTTAGCTGTTTATCAAGGTGTTGGTCATTAAATTCCTTGATTCTCTGTTTCCCCATCAGATGAGAATTATACA